>NC_000007.14:151428076-151579591 GCF_000001405.40 Homo sapiens | reverse complement strand
TTCAAGAATTGTAGCTCCCAGAATCCACCCCGTGTTGATGCACTCCAGGGCCCTCAAATAGTGTTTCCTGTCTTTTGTACAACTTGGATAGTTGTTTTCAACTGTTTCATTATGCCAAACTCAGAACTTTCTGGCATAGGTTTTCAATAGCTATGGCTACTTAGGGTTTCATGAATGATCCTCATGAATGTTTTTAACATTTATTTTCTCTGCTAAATCTGTCATTTTGAAGAAAACAGTAAGCAATTTGTGCTTTTAAAAGATGCCCCTGGCCAGGTGCAGTGGCTCATGCCTGTAATCCTAACACTTTGGGAGGCCAAGACAGGAGGATCACTTAAGCCCAGGAGTTTGAGACCAGTCTGGGCAACATAGCAAGATCCTGCCTCTACAAGAAAAAAAATTATCTGGACATGGTGGCATGTGCCTGTGGTCCCAGCTACTTGGAAGGCTGAGGTGGGAGAATCACTTGAGCCCGGCAGGGGCAGCGGGGAGGGGTGCAGTGAGGAAACAATGAGCCAAGGTACCACTATACTTCAGCCTGGGTGAAAAAGTGAGACCCTGTCTCCAAAAAAAATAAATAAATACAAATAAAACATAAAAGGTGCCCCCATTCCCATTCTATTCCAACCAGTTTAGAAAAGCAAACTTACCAGATATTCAGTGTGTTTTAAAATCTATTTACATGCGACTTTTCCACTATATTCTTCTATAATATATTCTAGGACCACAATCAGAGATGCCCAGGGTACAAATAGCAAACCATTCAAATGGGCACACCTTTCCTGGATGCCATTTAGTTACAAAAGCAGTGTATTTTGGTGCCTTTTTGATAAAGGTGTGTTTCAGAAACAGTTCATGAGTTTCTGGATGCTGCTCAGTTACTGTTGCTCTCCCACATCACTGGGTTGGCTCTACTCATTTCCTCATCGTCATTCTCTTGTAGTCATTTGACTAATGTCTAGAATCCCTGCTATATTCAGGACTCAGCGCTGGACGGGTTAAAATAAATGCGTGAAATAATTGATGAGCTCCCTCAACGCACCAGTAGTCCCTATATTCTTGTGTAGGTGAACTAGGTACATGCATGAGCAGTTCCACATAAGGCAAAATATATCACAATAAAGGAAGAAATAGGTACTAAGTTATTAGTCCTAAAGTCATCTGCTCTAGGTTCCTGCAGTTGTTTTCATTAGTAAGTTAACAAGGATTTTGTTTGTTTTGTTTGTTCATTTGTTTGTTTGCTTGTTTGAGACAGAGTCTCACTCTTCACTCAGGCTGGAGTACAGTGGCGTGTTCTCGGCTCACTACAGCCTCCACTTCCCAGGTTCAAGCGATTCTTGTGCCTCAGCCTCCTGAGTAGCTGGGATTACAGGTGTGCGCCACCATGCCCAGCTAATTTTTGTATTTTTAGTGGAGACGAGGTTTTACCATGTTAGCCAGGCTGGTCTCGAATTCCTGGCCTCAGGTGATCTGCCCATCTCGGGGGGCCTCCCAGAGTGCTAGGATTACAGGCGTGGGCCACTGTGCCCAGCCAACAAGGTTTTTTTTTGAGTAGTGAGTGAGAAGAGAATAATTTACTTTTAGTTAAAAAAAAAAAAACATAACCATACCATAATGTAACACTTTTTTTAAAGAAACATTTTACTATCCCAGCTTCTTAATGTATCAGTTTAATCTTTTTTTGCTTGTTTCTCATTGTTTCCATTTAAACACATATTTTTCTAAGTATCATAATGTATAATTTTACAGTTACATTTTTATTGTCATAGACCTTTCTTGATATAGTTATGAAAACATCATAATTATGTTAATTATTATTTGATTTTTTTTCTCATTGGTATGCTAGTATTTGATAAGTTTTGTTTGAGAGGTGGATTTTTTTTTCAGTTTTCAAGATTAGAAGTAATGTCACATGGAACATTGTTGATTCAGGAATCCCACTCCTAAAATAATTCAAAGAGAAAAAGCTGTTGCACAAGCAATATGAATACTTTGTGATTCTTGACACTAGCTGTGTTAGAAAAAATATTTTCTCAGTGTTTGGTGCCACCAGTGGTTTTATAATAGCCCTTGTATTAGGAGCTGCAACTTTAAAATATCGGCTTATTTAGCATCTACAAATGACACTTTGTTTTAATTTGCATTTCTTGGGTTATTAATAAGGTTGGACATTTTCCCTGTACTTATTTGCTGTCTGAATTTAGAGGATCATTTTCAGCACTGAACTTTTGGTTATTAATAAATCTTCAAGTATGATACCTTATGGTATCCCAAAAGATATTTGTTATGAGTGTTAAGTGAGATATGATATGTTAGTGCCTGACCCATTTGTGTCTGGAAGGTATAAAATGCAAAAATATATTGTATCTTTCATACCTTTTTTTTTCCTCAACCTTGGGAACTGAGAAAGTATGCTTGTTTTCTCATTGAAAATACTAAAAATAAATTTTTATTTCAGGTAATTTGATACAACTTCAGTGTTTTCAGATGAATTAATAACCACATGTAGGAGATATTAGACCCTGAAGTTTAATTCTTTTGTATGGTTTTAATTACATAAAGTATGTATGTAGACAAGAGTCTTCAGATACAATAAGAAAAAAAAAAGAAGTTAATTGCATTATTTCAATTTCAAAAAATAATTTCTAATCCCTGTATGCCTTTAGGTGTAATTCAAAAAGATTTTTGCTAATGTTAATAAATTCCATTATTTTTAGCTTATCAAACTTACGAAACTTATTATGGAAGATAACTGATAAGACTTGGTCAAATATGTTAAGGGTATTTTTCTGGCCAGGTGCGGTGGCTCACGCCTGTAATCCCAACACTTTGGGAGGCCGAGGTGGATGGATCACTTGAGGTCAGGAGTTCGAGACGAGCTTAGCCAACATGGTGAAACCCTGTTTCTACCAAAAATACAAAAATTAGCCGGGCATGGTGGCACATGCCTGTCATCCCAGCTACTCGGGAGGCTGAGGTGAGAGAATCAATTGAGCCCAGGAAGCAGAGGTTGCTGTGAGCCAAGATGGTGCCACTGCACTCCAGCCTGGGCAACAGAGTGAAACCTTGTCTCAAAAAAAAAAGGTATTTTTCTTCCTGGACTTTGAAAGTATGTTTTGTTTCTCCTCTTTTTCTTCAGGTTAAAAAGGCCTTCTTTGCTTTGGTAGCCAACGGTGTCCGAGCAGCGCCACTGTGGGAGAGTAAAAAACAAAGTTTTGTAGGTAAGCAGTGTGGGCCTGAGGAAAATCGAAAATGGAAACCTTGAAAGCAGAAAGCCTAAAGTATTTTAATAGATGCCGGTTTGGAATTCAACCTAGTAAACATGTTTCCAAGTTAAAGAACATTCTTGCTGGCAGGGTGCAGTGGCCCATGCCCGTAATCTCAGCACTTTGGGAGGCCAAGGCAGGGAGATCGCTTGAGCCCAGCAGTTCGAGGCCAGCCTGGGCAACATAGCAAGACCTCATCTCTACAAAAACATGCAAAAATTAGCTACTCAGGAGGCTGAGGTGGGAGGATCACTTGAGCCCAGGAGGTCAAGGCCATGATCGCTGCACTGTACTCCAGCCTGGGTGACAGAGCGAGACCCTGTCAAAAAAAAAAAAAAAATTCCTTGCTTTTACATACTGGGTAAGAAGGTGGACGTGCTAGTAAGGTCCAAACACTGTTGTCCTTTTTTTCTTTTTTTTTTTTTTTTTGCCGCCTCATTGAGAACTCTACACACTGTTGTAACTTTTATGGAGCTTTTGTTGTTGTTGTTGTTGAATTTCTTTTAATTTAGCAACTTTTTGGCTCTCTGAAGAGCTTATGTGTCTTTACCAGCCCAATGAACAAACCCCACGTAGGACACCACAGTCAGATGTGAGCCAGCTGCCCCACTTTGGGCCACACATGGCATATGGCATCCCTGGGCCCCGCACTCATCTCGCTAGTGCACACCTTTTTGACAGGGCAAATTAGATGCTGTAAACATGACTGATGTCTCTGCCAGACCATTGTTATACTGTTAAAACTGTTGTGTAACTTACAGCTATCTAAATGCCATCGTTACTTATCTTATGAATCACAGCAGACAATGCCATTGTCTCTCTTAGTATTCTTCACGTTATTTTGAAATGATCGTTATGTCTGCTTCTAGGTTTTAATTTCATCAGGGAAGAAGTTCATGTCTTTTTCATCCGTATCATCCTGGTGTCTAGCACGTCAAAAGCACTCAATAAATGGCAACTGTTAAAACCATTGTGTTTAGAATGCTTCTTGGGAAACAATCCAAGTGCCCAGAATTGTCACGTTTCTAAAGCTTACGGAATACTTTATCTTAAAGTACTTAAAATTATTTACCTGTAACTGCAATTCTTTTTTCAAATTTGTATCAATTAATGAGTTTTCTCTCATTGATTTGCCAAATTCTCTGGTTAGTTCCGTAGTACTTACTGTCAGGTTTAATTTCAGCTAAATTTGTATATCCAGTTTGGTATACACAATTAACACATCAATAGTTTTAAATAATATATTAAACTCTGCTTGATATCTTCGAAGTATATTTTATAAGCTCTTCTAGCATATATTCTAGGCTCACTTGTCATTTGAAATTTTTAAAAATGTTTTCATGGTTTTATTTGTAACATGTAATTCTTTGTTCCAGGAATGCTAACAATTACAGATTTCATAAATATACTACATAGATACTATAAATCACCTATGGTAAGTGGCACCAGTTCCTATGTCAGTAGTTGGAGCTGTACGTATCTATGTATGTGTGTAGGTATATGTGTGTATTTTAAGATTTTTAATGTTTTCAGTTTTTTCTTTTTTGGTATGGTGTGCTGATGGTGATTTTCCAAATCTATATAACATGCAGGGAACTTCAGTACAAAACTCTCTTTACTGTAAGTTATATGTATGAAACTCAAAGAAGGAATTCTCAGGAAAAATAAAAGGAAATAGATTCTTTATTCAGCTTTCGGAATTCCTTGGCTTAGCAGAATTCTACATATTTATTAGCTAGACGTTCTGTAAGTTTTGCTTATCTCTGCGGGCCTGTTGAGGTGGTAGAGCTTAATTCAGTTACCCCAGCAATTGCAGAACAAGAATTATATGTACTTTGTGATTTTAAAGCAGAAAAAAATGAGTCATTAAAGTGAAATAAATTCCGTTTTGACATGTTCCTGCTAATTAGGAAGAGACAGCTCCTGGCTGATTTTAGTAGCAGAACTCTCTGGTCCCTAGTACAATGGTTCTGGAAAGAGCGTAGCTTAAAAACCACTTTTGTCCTTCATCTAACTTTGTGATATCTGAGATTCAACCTGCTTGGTTTTGTGTTTTTAGTTTCTGTTTGTTTGTTCATGAGGGTGGGGGGAAGGACAGGATTGCATACTCTTATTTAACTAGTCCTATTTGGGGTACTTAAAAGGTGTAGGTTAATTCAATTAATACTGCTTTATGCGTAATGCTCAGTATTATCCAATAATTCTTACATCAAATACAAAAATGAGTTTCTTCATAAAACATGCTCTTGCCGGGCACAGTGGCTCACGCCTGTAATCCCAGCACTTTGGGAAGCCGAAGTAAGTGGATCACTTGAGGTCAGGAGTTGGAGACCAGCCTGGCCAACATAGTGAAACCCTGTCTCTACTAAAAATACAAAAATTAGCTGGGTGTGGCAGCGGGCATCTGTAATCCCAGCTACTCAGGAGGCTGAGGCACAAGAATCGCTTGAACCCAGGAGGCGGAGGTTGCAGTGAGCCGAGATCGCGCCATTGCACTCCAGCCTGGGCGACAGAGGGAGACTCTGTCTCCGAAAAACAAACACAACCATACTCTTAGGAAGTTTTACCAAAGATTTTGTAAATATCCTGTATTTATTTCCCATGAAGTGTATTATTTCTTCAATATTACCAATGCAAGTGAACACGGGCTTTCCTTATAGTGGTCATATCTCTGCTTTTGAACTAGCAAAATCAGCATGAGTGTGATTTTTGAATAGATAGATTTCTGTGAAATGCAGCAAATCCCATATAAGAAATCTTAGCAGTAGAATATGAAATCAAAATTGCAAAAAAGCAGTTATGTCTAAATATGCAGCCCAAAGTTTTTCTTAATATCTGTAGATACAGGCCAGGCACAGTGGCTCACGCCTGTAGTCCCAGCACTTTGGGAAGCTGAGAAGGGTGGATCACTTGAGCCCAGGAGTTTGAGACCAGTGGGGCAACATGGTGAAACCCCATCTCTACAAAAAAAAAAAAAAAAAAAAAAAAAAAACCCACAAAAATTAGCCAGGCATGGTGGTGTACATCTGTAGTCCAAGTTACTCAGAGGCTGAGTTGAGAGGATTACTTAAGCCTGGGAGGTTGAGGCTGCAGTGAGTCATGATCGCACTTGTGCACTCCAGCCCGGATGACAGAATGAGACCTTGTCTCAAAAAAAAAAAAAAACTTGAGATACATTTTTTTCTCTATATCTCACCTCACTTTCTTTTTTTTGAGACAGAGTCTCACTCTGTTGCCCAGGCTGGAATGCAGTGGTACCATCTCGGCTCACTGCAACCTCTGCTTCCTGGGTTCAAGCAATTCTCCTGCCTCAGCCTCCTGAGTAGCTGGGACTACAGGCACCCACCAATATGCCTGGCTAATTTTTGTATTTTTAGTACAGATGAGGTCTCACCATGTTGGCCAGGCTGGTCTCAAACTCCTGACCTCAGGTGATCTGCCCACCTTGATCTCCCAAAGTGCTGAGATTACAGGCATGAGCAACCGCACCTGGCCGCCTCATTTTCTAATTGCGAATAGAAAATGCTATTATCCAAGCTATGTTTTGTTTCATTTTCCAAATATTTTTTCTATGTTGTATATGTATATTTATAAATAAGAATTTTTTTATTTGCAGGTACAGATTTATGAATTAGAGGAACATAAAATTGAAACATGGAGGGGTAAGCACTATTGGATGTTTAAAATCTTTTAGTATCGGGAAAGCTATGTTTAGTATGAAAAGTATGTTTTCATTTTGCAGATCCTTTTCTCTCTGCTCCATAAAATGTTATATAAAACATTCTCTTTATTTCTGTTAATTTTGATAGTATGCTACTGTACTAAAGCTGAACAATATAAGTATTGTCCCTTCTGTTTATAGACATGTATAGGACACCTTCAGCAGGCAAGGCCTTATCCTAGGGCCAGGAATGTGAAGATGAATGAGCTAACCAAGCCCCACCTCGCTGCCCACAATGGGGCCACCGCTCACTACTAAGTCTAAGCCCTCAGAGATTTGCCTTGGTATTAAGAAATGCATCAGAGGCATGCCTAACTTGAACCAAAGCAAGCATCTGTTCTTATTTAAACCTAGTAATTGTTTCTTTACAAATTGTGGAGAAACTTAGGACAAATGAACCTCAAACTAGATGGTTTGGAGCAAATAGCATGGAAGTAATTTGAAGACCATATTCTCTTCATTGTCACATTGACATTCACCCTGTAAAATCATGATACTCTTTTCTGCCATAGAACCATTTCTTAAATTCGCATTTCATGATTGTAAGGTGGTGGTCTCACTGACACTTGTCATGGTGGGTTGGTGGAGAGGACCGGGGGTGGGAATCACGGCAGACCCAGTCTGTCTGCAACAGCGGAGCCTTTGGAGGGTGCTCAAGGAAACACTGGTAGAAATGGAGGGACCAACTGAAGGAAAATTTTGAATTCAAAATTGAAGAGTTTGGTTCTGTGTTTCCCATAATATGCTTGATAGGAGAAGCAACCTTTGTAGCTGGCTGTGAAATCAGAATACATCTTGGAGTTCTCTTACACCCCCAGGGGCCCTTTCAAATCCATACGATTTAGAAGTTTCACTGAGTGATGGGTTTGGTTTATTACGGCTTTGTCAAACCAAGCTAAACAAATTTGGCATGGGATCTGTACAGTCTGTTGTGCAGTGATTGTGTAACACCAGCTTCTTGTCCAGTTCTACTGTACAAGTACTGATAGACCAAGGTTTAAGTATGTTTACGTTTTGACATTACATGATATTTTGTAGTAATAATAATGCCAAAATATTCTTAAACGCCTTCTGTATAGAAACTTTGGTAAAGCAAGGCCAGGTGCGGTGGCTCACACCTGTAATCCCAGCACTTTGGGAGGCCAAAGCAGGTGGATCACTTGAGATCAGGAGTTCAAGACCAGCCTGACCAACATGGTGAAACCCTCTCTCTACTAAAAATACAAAATTAGAGCCAGGCGCAGTAGCTCACGCCTATAATCCCAGCACTTTGGGAAGCCGAGGCGGGTGGATCACCTGAGGTCAGGAGTTCGAGACCAGCCTAGCCAACATGGTGAAACCCTGTCTCTACTAAAAATACAAAAAAGTAGCCAGGCGTGGTGGTGCGCACCTGTACTCCCAGCTACTCGGGAGGCTGAGGCAGGAGACTCGCCTGGGCCTGGGAGGCAGAGGTTGCAGTGAGCCAAGATGATGCTGCTGTACTCCAGCCTGGGCAACAGAGCAAAACTCCTTCTCAAAAAAAAAAAAAAAATTAGGCTGGGCACAGGACCTCATGCCTGTAATCCCAGCACTTTGGGAGGCTGAAGTAGGTGGATCACTTGAGGTCAGGAGTGCGAGACCAGCCTGGCCAACATCATGAAACCCCATCTCTACTAAAAATACAAAAAAAATTAGCAGGGTGTGGTGACGTGCACCTTTAGTCCCAGCTATTTGGGAGGCTGAGGTGGGAGAATTGCTTGTACCTGGGAGGCAGAGATTGCAGTGAACCCAGATCATGCCACTGCACTCCAGCCTGAGTGACAGAGTGAGACTGTCTCAGAAAAAAAAAGAAACCTTGGAAAAGCAAATTAATTGCAGTTGATATCTTCAGAAAAAAACAGTTTTTATGTGCTGGAAAGATGCCCACAATGCAGTAGGTTTTGAGCATCAATTTGGTAAAATAATACTTAAAAATATTTAAAGAACAAAGTTTGTCATAACTGATTTTATCTTATAACTTATGGAAATTGATTTTTTAAATTTCATAATTGCTTCATTTCTTGAGAGTAAGGTGAACCTGGTAGCATTCTAGTGACCTCTGCTGGTATTGCTCTTTTATCAGATTTCTTTGTTTTTCCTGATTTTATAAACACTTACTGTCACATTGTTTTTTAATATTTAATTTTTCTTCAAATGCAACATCCTGAAAACAGTTTGGAAGTTGTTTAAAATAGCCATAACTATGATTAACACAGGAGTTTTAGGCAAATTAAATTTCTTTTTATTTGAGTTTTTAATCCTTCTAACTATTAACCGTAAACTGAAGGGTATTTGAATTTGTGTTATAACTGCAAACAGCAAATGTGTTACTAACTGCATATTTTCTTTCTATAAATACAGAGCTTTATTTACAAGAAACATTTAAGCCTTTAGTGAATATATCTCCAGATGCAAGGTAAACTTGTTTTTTTTTTCTTTGAAAACATTCATTCAGATGTATGTGTTTTATCACCATGATAGAAAGAAAGACACAAATAAACATGTTCTTCATTCCAAACAGGGCCTGCCTCCTTAATTCCAGCTACACTGTACGCATTCAGTAAATCTAGGAACACTACAAAAATCACAGCCGTTGCTGGTGCTAAGGATGGATAATGGTCTAGTAATAGGGTCATACTAAACCATCACGAAGATCTCGGCCAATCTGGGGGGCGTGTTGAAATTGCAGATTCCTGGGCTTTTACCCCTGACCTGCTAAATCAGGATAGGGCCCAGGAATACACATTTAAACAACTCCCTTGGCAATTCTGCTCCACACTAGCGTTTAAACATCAGTGTGTGTTAGATGTCGGTTCAGATGTGGTGAGAGCATGGGCTGCCTTCTGTGTAGTCGTCTGGCCCGTCCTTTTTTATCCAAGCCTTCTGGTTTGGCTGTGATACATTTCCATATTGGTGTAAAAGCATCTTTCAAACTCAAATCCAGTACAGAGAAAGATTAAAATATTTATTTTCATTTTATTTCCAAGTCCTAACAAAAAGGTATAACAACCTTCTTACTGGCAGTCCCAGGAGAGGGACCAAGTAGAACAGAAATGTTGGCCCTGCAATATCTCCTAGCCGGGCCGGCCCGGGGTAGAGCCAGTTTGCCCACTCACCAATGCAGAGAGCTTGCTGCTACAGCCTTTGCTCTCTTGCCAATACGATGTATCTGTTTGCTTTTCTAAGGATTTAGGTTTCATCGTCTTTCAAATAAAATCACTAAATACACTCTTTAAAAAAACTCCTCTTCCTGGCTGGGCGCAAGGGCTCATGCCCGTAATCCCAGCACTATGGGAGGCCATGGTGGGTGGATCGCTTAAGCTCAGGAGTTCGAGAGCAGCCTGGGCAACGTGGCAAAACCCCATGTCTACAAAAAAGAAAGGTGGCGCATGCCTGTAGTCCCAGCTACTCAAATAGGCTGAGGTGGGAGGATCACCTGAGCCCGGGAGGTCAAGGCTGCAGTGAGCCATGACGGCAGGCAACAGAGCAAGACCCTGTCTCAAAAAAACAAACCAAAAAAAATCTCCTCTTCTAGAGATTTGTAGCTTGCACTTGTATTTGAGATATGTTAACATAGATTGTGAAAAATGAAAAATTTGCTGAGATCTCTAATTTAAAACTCTTCCAAAACACTGTTATTATTGCAATAATAAAAACACTGGAAGTGCTTTAAGGCAGGGGTAGTCCAAAGTGTTCTGATTTTTCTCGAAAGCCTCCTAACAACTTTAATGACTTCTCCCACAGCCTCTTCGATGCTGTATACTCCTTGATCAAAAATAAAATCCACAGATTGCCCGTTATTGACCCTATCAGTGGGAATGCACTTTATATACTTACCCACAAAAGAATCCTCAAGTTCCTCCAGCTTTTTGTAAGTAGTTTTTAGCGTTTCTAAAGACATAATTGCATTTACTTATTAAATAATGTACTTCAAGTAAATTGGCTCCTGTTACCCTCAGTAGAAGAAATTGTTAGTTTTGAGGTCTCCCTTTCTAAACTTCAGTTTCTCAACTTACTACTCTCTGAATTGTACATTCTTAAAGTTGATTCCAATTTAAAAGAATCACCTTTTAGTGCAAGTATCAAAACAATTTTAACAACAAAACTCGGCATTCTCTCTTTAAATTAAAACATTTGTCACCAGCATATGAGGGGAAATAAGGCAATCTGCAAGTCTAATTGAGGACTGTTGTACAAGATAAACTGAACTAATATCTAGAGCAAAAATTGCTTTATGTTGCTTTTACTGGTGTCATGGTTTTAGAAACATGTTCCAAAAAATGCTTTCCTCAAGATTATCTTATAAACTGCAGCAGTGATAGAAAAACCCGAAGCAAATAAAATTTTGGCAAGAGAATACCATGTTGGTCCAAATAAGGCCTGTATTAACCTGTAGGTTTTCTCAGCTACTTGAAATGACCTGGCTCCGTAGTCATCCAGAACTTTGAGCCTGTTTGGTTGGAAACATTAAAAGAGACTCAGGAAGAACAGAGAGTTTATAAGAGGCTTTTTATGTTTGTCTTTTAATTACATGCATGGAATTTGAGGTTGTAAGTAATCAGTCAAATAGAACCAGTAGAAGGTCTTAATCGTTCTGAAGAGGTACTTTGAAGAGTTGTTTTTCCAAGACTGTAACAGATATTAAAAATGTACTTCAAATTAGCTTTCCCATTTTCCTCCCCATGGCTTCACCTAAGGACCTAACATAGCGTTCCGGTGCAGTGTGAAGGAGCTGAAGCTCCTGCCCTGGAGGCAGCTTGAGGGACCCCTTTTGCTGACAGAAGCACAGAGGGCTTAGTGATGGAGAGAAATACCTTGTCAATCAACCCAGTCTTGTATTTTAATCATTTACATATATAAATAACATTTATTTAACCATGCTGTGCTAAGAAAGAAGGTAGGGAAGAGTAATTTACAAAAAAACTCAAGTCTGAAGTTTAATAAAGGCGATAATCTAGGAAAAAGGGATTAGGGATGCATCCGCATTGTTTATCAGACTGGACATCTGGGAATGCAGCCGCTTTAGTAGTTGAAGTTTAATAGGAACAGAGGGAGCATGGGGTGGGAAGGATGTATTCAGGGCCCCCACGTGCCAGGCCTGCAGCTCACTTAATCCTTAGAGTCATCATTTTTAAATAATATTAATCATGAGAGCTGATTACTGTATGTCCGGCACTGTTCTAAGCACTTGACATAATCTCATCCTCGCTGCTACCCTATCAGGTAGGTATTTTTATTAATCCTATTTTATAGGGATGCAGCTAAGAAAGGTTAAGTAGCTTTGCCAAGGTTGCGTGGCTGGGAAGCGGTAGAGCCAGGATCCCTTTCAAGCGTTCCTCACTCCCCATGCTTTTCTCCACGCAGGGGCCTTGGGAGGGAGGCGTTTGCATACCTTGCATACACAGGACACCTGGCTGGGAAACGTGCCCCCAGTCATGTGGATACTAAGTGGTAGATTGCAAACCCGGGAGTCTCTCTGACTCCCAAGCCCAAACTATTTCTGCTAGTGTGCTGTTGCACAAGAGGGAGTAAAAGCGTGAGATCATTCTTTTGCAGAGCTGCTTCAGATTTTTATCTTCTATAAAAAGGAGAGGAAGTTGCCTCTGCCCAGTACTGCCTCATATTTGGGCCAATATGGTAATTAGAATCATGCTACCAGAATATTCAGCTAACTAAAGGTTTTCAGTTAAAAATATAGAACTTAAAGACATTTCAGAGCCTGATTTTTACTGAATTATGAGATCATTTTCTGAGAAAAAAGGAGCATTACCCTTCAAGACGTTTGAAAATTAGCCTAAGCCTATAGTGTGCAACAGGGAATTCGCTATGTTGAGATGGACTAGATGACCTAATAGGGCTTTCTTTTTTTTTTTCTCTAAATTTCTAGGAGTCTCATGATTTGAATATTGATGAACTCTTTGACTTGAACATTTTGTTTCTTCTAATTGTTCATCTTTTCCTGATAATTATAAGGTACACCAGGAGGATGGAATCAACTATACCCTTTATAAAAGGTGGATTTTTGAAACCGTAGACCTTATTTTGTTATACTCAAACATGATCCTAGACTTTTCTCTCCTGCCATATCCCTCCTCCTTTAAAACAGCCCATGAAAAGTTAATTTTTAAAGATTCTTTTAATTCTGTTCAGCTGGCTTCTTTGTTCCTAGTAGACAAAAATTGGAGCTCTCCAAGGAGAATTCAGGATGTAGAGGCGGGTGGCGTGAGGACTAGCTTAGCAGTGGCTCAGACAGCTGCCGTCAAATGCTTTGGGTTTGGAAATGTATAGGTTCTTAATAAATATTACTTAATCCTGACAGCAGGACCAGGAATTTAACATGAACAATTAAGAATAAAGGATTCAATTCTTCGTGGCTTACAGGTCTTAATATCCCAAATAGACCTGTTCTTCCCTGGTTCTATACGCGTTCTTAGTGAGTGAAGAGGAGATGGAAAAAGATTACAGTATCAATGCTCTGCAATAGTTTGTGAATAGTTAAATAGAAGCATAGACCTACAAACTGGTTCAAACAAAAGATACAGTCCTTTGTAATTTTCTCATGTTAATTCAGGCATCCAGGTAGACTGTTAGAAAAAACTAACTTTAATTTGTTGGACATACTTTTTCATTCAAATCTGGACCTTTGAACATGACAAGAGTGTGTTCTGGGTCTAGAACGTTTGCGTTTATCTTCCGTTTAGATGTCTGATATGCCAAAGCCTGCCTTCATGAAGCAGAACCTGGATGAGCTTGGAATAGGAACGTACC
The DNA here is from genome assembly GCF_000001405.40 of Homo sapiens. Taxonomy (NCBI): domain Eukaryota; kingdom Metazoa; phylum Chordata; class Mammalia; order Primates; family Hominidae; genus Homo; species Homo sapiens. The sequence goes on along the minus strand of NC_000007.14, from coordinate 151,565,818 downwards.
ACAACATTGCCTTCATACATCCAGACACTCCCATCATCAAAGCCTTGAACATATTTGTGGAAAGACGAATATCAGCTCTGCCTGTTGTGGATGAGTCAGGTTTGTGTGTTTGGCGCTGACAGGCAGAAATAATTGTTTATCTCAGGGTGCAATTATTGTAAGATGACCTGGCACAGGAGATACGTGGGGAAAATGAAAACTTGGGTATGGTGAATAAATTCAGCACCAAGGGGCACGCAGGATCGTAAAAAAAGTTTAATTGGTTTATTTTCATATGTCCATTAAAATATGATTTCATATCTAAGTTTTCATTTAAAATAGACAAGGTTATTTATCAGTGTTTAACTTTTAGTAATTATGTCATTAAAACTGATTTTAAATGAATTTCTTTTTGTCCCTTAAGACATTTTTCTAACATATATTTTTCATTTTTAGGAAAAGTTGTAGATATTTATTCCAAATTTGATGTAATTGTAAGTATTTTAATTTTGTTCAATCTGTCACCTAGAATGCATTTTAAACATTCATGTAATGTGTTTTTATGTTTTTATCTTGTTTCTTAATTTAATAATTTCTAACCTTTTGGGGTGTGAGGATATTATCAGAATTTTATAGACCTTCTATAGTAATTGTACTTTTAATCTGCATTGGTTTAGCAACCAATTATATATTAGTAGCATTTTATAATTTTTCATCTTTACAATACATGCATATTTTATGCACTGCCACAGCATGTGTATATATTTTAAATGTTCTTGTTTCCACGTAGGAGGCCTGATTTATTCGCCTCTAGACGCGTGCGCAGTGCACACGTGGACTCATGGCTCCTTTGTCGGGCGCATCCCATTGCTTAGTGATTGGGAGCCACTGTTCTAAAGAAGAAAAGGGGACTGACACTTTATAGCCCCAAATGTGCACGCCATTTTTTGCCACAATACTGACCCCACATTAAACATTCTTCTGCAGCTGCCTCAAACCCTTTGCTTCACACTATTATGTTAAACATAACAGTCACCGAGAAATATGCTGATCGGCATTTTGGTTGAGTGGGACCCGCTAAAATGAATGAGAGCCCCATGAAGCCATTTGGATCCATGGGGCTCCTCAAGCCTGTTCTTCCTCTGGTTGCTTGATCCCCATGGGTCCCCCAAAGCCTTCCCAGCAGAAACCTTGTTCCCCAGGGAGCTTGTTGAGAAGGTCCGTTGCTGCAGCATTTCTAGCCCTGTGGCACTCACCACCCTTTACAGATGTCAGCCCACCTTGCCAGAGATTTCATCCATGCATGGTAGAGAGCATTAGAGGGTAAAAATTGGGGGGCAGTCTTTGGCAGGATATACTGTCAAAGTTTAACAATGTTGCTTCGTAAGGAAGGTAGACCTTGTAACATGGTTATCTTTAATTGTGATTGATATGTTGACAAAATAACAGTAGCAATGGCATGTCGTAAGCCAGAAAGAACGTCTGATGTATGCAGGTACTAAATTCAGATAAGCATTAAAGTTTTTAGAAATCAGGCTCTCTTAAGCTCACTAATTTTGGTCATTGAAGTGAACTGAAATGAAAGGATATAATTTATTCTCTTGCTTCATTACAGAATCTTGCTGCTGAGAAAACATACAATAACCTAGATATCACGGTGACCCAGGCCCTTCAGCACCGTTCACAGTATTTTGAAGGTGTTGTGAAGTGCAATAAGCTGGAAATACTGGAGACCATCGTGGACAGAATAGTAAGAGCTGAGGTGAGACGGCTTTCCCAGTCCTGCTCCCCCGACGTCCACTGCAACAAGTCCCCAGTAGTGAATGATGCCTCTGGAAGCCTGAATCTCAGGAAGGGCCCAGCGAGGCAGCCTCCAGGTTCAGTCGATGGGATTCCCTCCTGTCCCAGAACCTGGCACACTACTTGGCATATAGGCGATCTCTAAAAGTTTGTTGAATTGAATTGAATGGAAAAGTCCTGGTATCATAGGTGAATCCAATAAACTGGTAAGATACATTCATAGTTTAAACTATATATGTTTGACAGTGTGGACGACATAATAAGACCTTGTCTCTACTAAAAATAAAAATAAATTAGCTGGGCATGGTGGCTTGGACCTGTAGTCATAGCTAATAGGGAAGCTGAGGAAGGAGGATCCCTTGAATCCAAGAGCTTGATATTTCAGTGAGCTGTGGCGGTGCCACTGCACTCCAGTCTCGACAGCAGAGCAAGACCCTGTCTCTAAATAGATCGATGTATCTGTATCTATGGATACATTTTGTTTTGAGAAAACAAAAATCCCAGAAGCTTTAAGTTCCATTTGAATATTTATGAATTCAAAATTTAAAGTGCGTAATATATATTTTAACAAAGTGAATGATAAGTCAGTAAAACTTTTTTCTCTCTTCCCACCAGTATCTCTCTTTCCTCAATTAGATAAATAGCAAATAATCTAGTAACTCCCAGTTTCCTGCACCTCAGCAGTCCAATTTCCTTAGACTTTACTGCTTATAAGATTTTCAAATGTACTTTGTGTAACACCCTAAATAAAAGACTCCGCCTAAAAAGAAAATTCCTTCACAAGATGACTCCTCACAGAAGGACCAAAAAAATAACAGTTTTTAGCTTTAATGTAGCTAGGAGAAGGGTGTACAGTATCAGTGATGATTCCATTTGTTTATATGACATAAATAGAACACTAACTTTTAGGTACCTCCAACAAAGGACATACATAAGTTTGACTCAGCAGCAGATGACAAGAAAATACGTGGGGAGTCATTTCAGTCTGAGAGAACTGCTTAATTCTCTGGATGAGATGGTTTCCCTTAGCCTTCAGAGTTCAAAAGATATCTGTTTAATATCCACTATTTTTTTTTTTTTTTTTTGAGACGGAGTCTTGCTCTGTCGCCGAGGCTGGAGTGCAGTGGCGTGATCTCGGCTCACTGCAAGCTCCGCCTCCCAGGTTCAAGCGATTCTCCTGCCTCAGCCTCCCGAGTAGCTGGGACTACAGGCGCCCGCCTAATTTTTTGTATTTTTAGTAGAGACGGGGTTTCACCTTGTCAGCCAGGATGGTCTCGATCTCCTGACCTCGTGATCTGCCCGCCTCGGCCTCCCAAAGTGCTGGGATTACAGGCATGAGCCACCGCACCCGGCTAATATCCACTATTGAATGTAACCAATAAAATGTCTTCAGTGTAGAAGACAAATGTGAACTATCATTTTAATGTGTGATTATAGTTAGCAAATAATTGTGCTGTGTTATATCACAGGATTACTGATGAACCTGAAAGCTTTTTTAGAGAAACATTTAAAAGAAATTTATGTTGACTGCCACGGGAAAGATGACCAAGCCATTATTATTATTATTATTATTAACCTAAAGCAACCTATGACAGAAACATCACCCAAACAGTATTATTTGAGACAAAATACAAAAACTGGATTTCCCCCTCTTCCTATCTCCTTCCTATGTCCCTGTTTTCTATCAGGGGTATCACTGTTCAATACAGAGAGGGTCTCCCAGGGCGCAGCCGGCACAGAGCTGCCGTGGCCCAGGTTCTGAAGCCTTTTTTTTTTTTTTTTTTTTTTTTTTTTTGAGACAAAGTCTCACTCTGTCGCCCAGGCTGGAGTGCAGTGGCGCAATCTCAGCTCACTACAACCTCCGCCTCCCAGGTTCAAGCGATTCTCCTGCTTCAGCCTCCTGAGTAGCTGGGATTACAGGAATGCACCACCACGCCCAGCTAATTTTTGTGGTTTTGGTAGAGACGGGGTTTCACCATGTTGGTCAGGCTGGTCTCGAGCACTTGATCTTGTGATCCGCCCACCTCAGCCTCCCAAAGTGCTGGGATTACAGGCGTGAGCCACCGCACCCGGCTCCAGGTTCCAAAGCCTTTTTTTTTTTTTTTTTAAGACACAGTCTCGCTCTGTCGCCCAGGCTGGAGTGCAGTGGCACGATCTCAGCTCACTGCAACCTCCACCTCCCAGGTTCAAGCAATTCTCCTGTCTCAGCCTCCTGAGTAGCTGGGACTACAGGTGCCCACCAGCACTTCTGGCTAATTTTTGTATTTTTAGTAGAGACAGGGTTTCACCATATTGGTCAGGCTGGTCTTGAACTCCTGACCTCAGGTGATCCGCCCGCCTCGGCCTCCCAAAGTGCTGGGATTACAGGCGTGAGCCATCGCGCCCGGCCATCATGAAGCTTTTAAGAGAATAGCAACGCCGCTCCCTTCCTGCGGGTGAAAGGCCTGTTACAGAAACACCTCAAAACGCTCTGCCGTCACTCATCAGAGATTTCAGAGTAGAAAACTAGAGATGGACGTAGTCTATCCCACTTCATTATAGCTCATTTATCCTCTTGGATGCGATTCTTAATATATGAACTTCACAGAGAAAAGACACTGCAGAAAATAAAACCCTTGTAAGAGCTGCGACCTTGTTTCTTCGTTTCTGTCATCATCTGGACTTCTCTCCCATGTATTAATAAGACAAGTACCTGATAGTTATTAGAAACTGATATACAACTTTTAGAAATTAAAACAGTTATGTTTAACAATGTATGATAGCTACGTTGTGTTTCGTGTTTGAGTTGTATCTTTTCTATATTAATATTTTGAAAATTGAAAACTCAGCAGGGCATAGCTAGCTCATTTTTCTTAAAAGTAAGCAAGCAAATCAGCTTGAATTAGAGACAAATCAGTATCATTAGAGACAGGAGATAGATAGCTTTCCCCTCTTTCCTTCTCATGCCTGTGTCCCTGTTTTTCACCAGGGCTGTGACTTTTTAATACGGAGTAGGTCTTCCAGGTAATCAGACAGTAACACATTGAACATTAGAGCCTAAGGTCATCGTATGGGTCTGTCTGTGGCTACTTTCCCTCATTTATTCATTTATGGGATGTGTGTGTGTGTGTTGCTTTTTTCTTTTTCTGAGACAGGATCTCACTCTGTCACCCAAGCTAGAGTGCACTGGTGCGATCTTGGCCCACTGCAACCTCCACTTCCCAGGCTCAAGCAATCCTCCCACCAAGTAACTGGGACCACAGGTGCACACCAGCACACCCAGCCACTGTCTAATGTTTTTGTAGAGATGATGTCTCACTGCTATTCCCCAGGCTGGAGGGATGTGTTGATCATATAAAAACATGACAGGACATTATTTCTCATGTCCATTTTAAACCTTTTTTAAATGTTAATTTTCACGTGTCCTGCTTTTCTCTTTGCAGGTCCATCGGCTGGTGGTGGTAAATGAAGCAGATAGTATTGTGGGTATTATTTCCCTGTCGGACATTCTGCAAGCCCTGATCCTCACACCAGCAGGTAAAATGCTGGTTTCTGACCTTTGCCATCGGCGTCTAGGAAGGGTGGGAGGTAGAACAGGAAGTGCAGCATTTAAACCATCATTTCTCCACCCACCTACAGATCAAGGCTTTGAGTATATTACTTTGAAACCATTTTCGTTTTCTCTTCAGTTGGGAAGTTTAAGTGTTCTGCGTGAGTGAGGAAAGTGTATAGAACGTATTCGAAGTTAAGAGCATCCTATCAAGGTCCAGTGGCCCCCTAAATGACTTGGGAGCCATTGCCATGTTCATCATAACCTTTTCCACTGAAAAGACCTCTTCAATTGTGCTTTGTGAGAGAACTAGTGACCAGAAACATAGAGGGAACGTCACTGGCTTCTATTTGATACCTTCATCTTTCCTTAAAGAGAAAAAAAACTTATATTTTGAGTAGATAAAACAGAATACCTAAACACAAACTTTTATTCATTAATATTGTACAGAAATCACATTCACTTTCAGATAGAGTGTGGTTAAACTCATTTTTTGACAGATTCACTTTGAGCAAGCCTTCAGAGTCTCAGACAGTGAGGAGCAGAGAGAACGGGAGAGGGCTTTAGACAAGAGGAGCTGGCCTTCCTCTCATTTCACACACTCAGTAGTAAGAGGTGGGCTTGAGAGTTCTTAAAACTGCCAGCCCTCCCTTCCCTCCTCCTCTTCCCATCCCTCCACCTCCCCAGCCCCAGTCAAATATGAACAACCCAGCCTTTGTCAGGGCCACATGGACCCGATGTGGGAGCAAACAGCATGCCCTTTGAACTCTCAGAATCCAATATTAAACGGTGTGTGTGCTACAGTATTGATTTCTCTTTAGTTCAGAAATTTCAGTTAAGACTAGTTTTTACAATTAAGTCTGTAACCCAAAAATACCTACCCTAAAGGAATCTTCACCACCTGCAAGAAACATGTCTTATTCGCTAAATGAGAACACCAAGAGAAATTCCAGTACAGCAGTGATTTTTCCGAGGTGGTCCTCAGGCCAGGCATCATCACCACCACCTGGAATTTACTAGAAAATGAAATGTTCATGTTGGGGCCCCGTCCCATATCCACTGAATCAGAAACTCTAGAAATGGGGCCTGGTGCAGTCACTTGCAAACTTCAAGTGTTTAAAAGACCTGAATCTCACAATAGTCTCTATAATCATGAAACATTAAGAACTAAACGAATGTTAATGCCATAAAACTGGGAATAATCCAAATATCTTTGAAAAGAAGAATGGATAAATTGTGTCACATTCATTCGATGGAATACGATACAGGATTGAAAACGAACAGTACAGCTGCATTCAACAGTGGAGGAATCTCACAGGCAACATTGAACAGAGGGAGCCAGGCTCATCCAGACCATCATTAAATTCATATAAATTTCCAGGCAGGCATAACTGCACAGCACATTTGTGCTAACTAGAAAAGGCCTCTTCTCTGGGCAGATTTATCCCCACAGGTATATAGCTTGGCACCTTCAGAAAAAGATGCCCCGTTTCCAGCCCTGGACCACGGGACACAGTCTGCCCAGCGGGTCAGGCTGAATGTCAGCTCTTGTCTGTCTCTTTGGGCATTACAAAAAGAGTAAACAAGTCAAGCGATTCATCCTCTCTGTTTCTTGATATCTCAAACCATAAGAATGAACGGTTGTGCTGGATGAGTTCAAATTTCCATCCAGATTTGGTATTTCAAAAATTCTAAGTCATTGCAATGCCCCTCCCATCACTGCTGGTGCAGAGAGGAATCTATTTCCAGCTGGAATTTGGAATGTATGTTACCATAGAAATTGTGCCGTGAAGATGGGGGTAGCTGGGTTGGAATTCCTTATGATACAGTGTATACAACACGATTTGTTGAGGAAAACATTCCGTGTTACTAATAACTGGATTACAAGTGAACTTTTGGAGTGGAACTCAGGGAGCGCCTGCATCTGATCAACAATCGCAAGTGAGGAGGCCCCCACCGTGAGGCCAAGTCCCAGCTGTCCCACCCGAGCGCTGTCTGAATGTAAGCAAGTCGCTTCACCTCCTTCAGCCCCAATTTCTTCAGTAGAGAAGGAGCCGGCTGATACAGGCCCGTCTCCCTCCTATGTTGCTATGAAAAGAGCTGAAAGCCGTGCACAAAAGCCATGTGTGTGCAATGAGGCGCAGTGCCCGGGACCTGCACTGTTAGGTGGTTGTCCATGGAATAGTCAGTAAGAGGCAGTTTGATGAAGTGTCTGCTGTTACTCGATTAGAAGGTACTAGTGGTGATTCTTTTCATCGGGCAATGGCCACCGTTCCCCAGAGGGGTACTGGTTCAACACAATAACACTTTCTCTTTCTCAAAAAAGTTTTTAGCAACAGTTCATTGTCAAACTTAGACTGTCCAAATGAACCCATGTGTGCGTGCATCCAGTGTGTGGGCAGTCTGATGCCAGGAGCTACGGTGTTTCAGCCACACGCTCTAATAGATTGCCGATCTCTTTCAGGGGTCTAGCGTCTGGTGAAAAATTAGGAGAGAAGCTCCTGTGATGAGAAAAATAGTAGCTCTCCCTGCCAATCCACTGTGGAATGTCCTAGCCAGATACTTGTTAGGTGCAATTATCCTTCAGAATATTTATAAAGGTTTTTTTTTTGTTTTTTTGTTTTTTTTTTTTTTATTTGAGACGGAGTTTCACTCTTGTCAACCAGGCTGGAGTGCAATGGCATGATCTCTCGGCTCACTGCAACCTCCACCTCCCGGATTCAAGCGATTCTCCTGCCTCAGTCTCCCAAGTAGCTGGGATTACAGGCGCCCGCCACTACGCCCAGCTAATTTTTGTATTTTTAGTAGAGACAGGGTTTCACCATGTTGGCCAGGCTGGTCTTGAACTCCTGATCTCAGGTGATCCGCCCGCCTCGGCCTCCCAAAGTGCTGGGATTACAGATGTGAGCCACCGCGCCCGGCCTAAACCTTTTTTTAATACATATTTGTAAGAGTGCACAACTGAAATACTTCACACCTTCACTAAAACATACCTACATATTTCTTAGTAAAATTTTTTAAGAGTGGAATTCTTTTTTTTTGTTTTCCAAGTTAAATCTGACATATTTAGAATGACAAGATGTTACGTGGATCCAAGCTGCCCGAACGATTGGGTGGGAGATGGGAGCTTGGGCCACCTGCTCCTTCCCACATCGCCCTCCTCCGAAGCCTCTGGATCATCCTCCTAAGGCACTGCCAGACACAGGTAGAAACCCCTGGGGTAGAGAACCCTGCTGTTACCATGAGCTTTGAAACTTTCATCTTCCATCCACTGACAGGTGCCAAACAAAAGGAGACAGAAACGGAGTGACCGCCGTGAATGTAGACGCCCTAGGAGGAGAACTTGAACAAAGTCTCTGGGTCACGTTTTGCCTCATGAACACTGGCTGCAAGTGGTTAAGAATGTATATCAGGGTTTAACAATAGGTATTTCTTCCAGTGATGTTGAAATTAAGCTTAAAAAAGAAAGATTTTATGTGCTTGAAGATTCAGGCTTGCATTAAAAGACTGTTTTCAGACCTTTGTCTGAAGGATTTTAAATGCTGTATGTCATTAAAGTGCACTGTGTCCTGAAGTTTTCATTATTTTTCATTTCAAAGAATTCACTGGTATGGAACAGGTGATGTGGCATAAGGTGAGTGCACGGTATGTTCAGATCACAGTGCCTTATGTCCGAATACAGCAATATGTCACCGCCGCAGCCGGGGCGCACGCGTGTGAAACAACACCGAGCTTGAATGTGGAAGTCTTTGAACCTTTTACCAAATCAGTTTGTTTTCTTTAGATTTGTCAAAAAGTTGTAATTTGAATATAAATAATTACTTTAAAATTGTAATGACACTTTTACACGTAAGTGTTTTGTTCTGGGCTACCGTGTCAACGAGGCTGCTTTACAACAGCTTTATTTATTTTTACTTTCATGCAATTTTTTTACACATCTTTTGGTGGAGTAAACTTCACCACATCCATGAATAAACTCTCAGTTATTTTGAAATGGCAAATTTCTCATTATTTAAGTTTGGATCTGGAAAGGACATGACTTCTGAAATAGCCGCTGCTGGGTTTTAAAAGCTGAGGTCTCTCAAAGTGTGGAGGAGACGTTGCCGTCAGGCGGGAGCCAAGTGCCGGGAAGATGTCTATTTTTTTTCTTGTGTATTGAAATGTAAAATCATGATGTTTGTTATGACTGCTGATGCGATTGTTTTTGTAAATTTTATTGTGGCATATACAGTATTGTCATACAGTTGAAGAGAAACAATGTTTCCTAATGTAAGTGCTCTGAAAATGTTGACACTGTATATATATATATGAGGATAGTTTGTTTTTTTTTTGTTTTGGGTTTTTTTTTTTCAGATTGAAAAATTAAAATAGATCCTACTATCTACCATTTTGTTAAAGAAGTTATTTAAAATGCCTTATATTTCAACACCTATCGATTAAAATTCTACATGCAGTTTTCCACTTAGCTATTTCTCCCCAAATAAAGAAGTACATGAATTTCATCTCTTTTCCGGTATCAGGAAAAAAAGTCAGGGTTTAATTCATAAACTCTCTCTCTCCACTATTAAGTATGAATATATGTATTTATTATTTTTATTTTATTTTATTTTATTTATTTTTTTGAGACAGAGTCTTGCTCTGTCGCCCAGGCTGAAGTGCAGTGGCGTGATCTCTGCTCACTGCAACCTCCACCTCCTGGGTTCAAGCGATTCTTCTGCCTCAGACTCCCAAGCAGCTGGGATCACAGGCATGCACCACCACGCCCAGCTAATTTTTGTGTGTGTGTGTATTTTTAGTAGATACGGGGTTTCACCACGTTGGCCAGGCTGATCTCAAATTTCTGACTTCAGGCGATCCACCTGCCTCAGCCTACCAGAGTGCTGGGATTACAGGCGTGAGCCACCGTGCCTGGCTGAGTATGAATATATTTAATTTAAAATTGCCACACAGGTTTTTTGCATGGGTGCTAAGGTATCAAGTTTTTCATTTCCTAGTAGTCCAAATATGAGAGGGAGAGCAAATGTGTATGTTTTCCCCATAGAAACAATAGTGGTTGTGATTTAAGCTAATGGTAATATTTGGGAGAAAGGAAAAAGTCACAAAGCTGCCAAAACAACACAATTTTGAAACTCAGAGAATTTATCAATCTGCTCCTTGTTTGTGTACCCAACACATGAGTGTCTGCAGAGTACATATCTACATACAGGTGACGTGGCACATATATAGGTACAGTCGTGGGCCATGTACAGATGCTTCAGTCAAGGACAGACTGCATATATCACAGTGGCCCCATGAGAGTATCACAGCAGCATTTTGCTGTACCTTTTCTATGTTTACATGCACAAATACCATTGTGTTACAGTTGTCTACAGTAACATGCTGTACAGTTTGGTAGCCTAGGAGCCATAGGCCATACCTATAACCCAGGCATGTAGTGGGCTGCACCATCTAGGATTGTGTAAGTACACTCTATGATGTTCACACAAAGATGAAATCACCTAGGCCAGGCGCAGTGGCTCACACCTGTAATCCCAGCACTTTGGGAGGCCGCGGCAGGTGGATCATCTGAGGTCAGGAGTTCGAGACCAGCCTGGCCAACATGGCAAAACCCCGTCTCTACTAAAAATACAAAACTTAGCCAGGCGTGGCGGCGGGCACCTGTAATCCCAGCTACTCGGGAGGCTGAGGCAGGAGAATCACTTGAACCCAGGAGAAGGAGGTTGCAGTGAGCCTAGATCGCACCACTGCACTCCAGCCTGGGTGACAGAGCGAGACTCCAGCTCAAAAAAGAAAAGATGAAATCACCTAACAACACATTTCTCAATGCATTCTCATGGGTAAGCAACACATAACTATAGGTCACCACGTGTATAGTTATATAGATGATGTGGCATATATCTAGGTGTGTAGGTGACATAGCATATTTTTGCTTTAGAAAAGGGTTTCGGGGCATGTAGAAAGGTACTCGCGATTCCTATTCCTATTCCCGCGAGGCTCGTTCAGCAGAGCTTGGTCTCCCTCAGGCATGCTTGTTCCAGGCTCCTGAGTTGTGCCAGGCACGGCACGGCTCACAACAGGCCTCTCACTGAGGCTTGGCCTTGGAGCAGCCTCTTCCTGTTGTCAGGCTACAACTAACAAAGGCCTGGTACCCTCTTCCAGCGAAGGGTTGGCATTTGTTCCTAGCAAATGGTGAAGGCGTGGCTGTGGTGAGCGTGCTGCTCCTGCTCAGTGCCTTTGTAGGAATAAGGGAAAGTGGCCCTGAATGAGGCCAAGTCTAGTTAAAGGCCACACATTGGTAAATATGTATTGAAGGAGAGATTTGAAGGGAATAAGTCTTAAGTGGTTCTAGATAGAGAAACCCTTGCTGGGTGACCCCCAGGTGTCTGCCCTGACCTCGTCATGGTGAGGCTCAGAGGGACCCCGTGGGCGCTGGCTGCCTGTGCTGTCCCACCCCCGCCTTGAGGCGGAGCTGAGGGCACTTGAGAGGATTGTCCTGAATGTCACCTGGGTGGTGGATAAGGGCAGGTGCATGTCACAAATCAAGGATGTTGGTTCTGTTTCGCATTCTAATCTCTAAGAAGAGTTTATGATGTAAATGTATTGAACTGATAGAATTTCTTAGAACATTTCTTAGGAAGGTTTAGTCTTCTAAACTCAGGGAAGCGGACGGTCTTCGCGGCCAGGGGAGATTCTGTTCCCCAGGGGGGCATTTGGCAATGTGGAAACATCTTCGGTTGTCACAGCTTGGGGTGGGGAGAGGGGACTGCGATGGGCCAGGCCCTGCTCCTCTGCCTGCACCCAGGCCCCCTAGCTCACTCATTCAAGCCACCTCCTGGGCCTCACAGGCATTGGAGGGCGAAAGGCTTTGGATGGGAGCTGCCCCTGGCACACAGCAGTGGGCTCTCAGCCGGGCTGACGCTGCTCTCAGATCAGCTTCCTTCCTTTCCTGCTGTCCCCGTCCTCACCTGTGCCCTTTGGGCCAATGGGGAAGAAGTGGCCGGAGCCGGGCCCTGCACTTGTGGCCGACTTGCCTGAGCTGCAGAGAGCAGAGGAGACACGGAGCGTGCGATGGAGTCTGCGGGGCTCAGGCGCGAAGGCCCAGGAAGGAGGAGCAAAGCTCCCACAGTGGCCTCACTTACCCGCCAGGCAAGGGGAGAGGGTGGCAGTCGAGGAGCCCTCACCTCTGTCTACAGCCCTGCCCCTGGGCACCTCACTCCTGTTTCCAACACAGCCTCCTTCACCTCTGCTCCTGCACACACAAAGCAGAAAAGCTGGAAACCACCTCGTTTTCTGTGCATTTTTAAATCCTCCTCCCCACCCCTTTGAAAAGATCTCCTAAGAGGGCAGCATTTCCAACAGCTTTGAATGCATTCGAGTTGTAAGCCCTAAGAGGTGTCCCTTCCGAATTATGGCCACTATGCCTGGCTGCATTTTTAAACCAAAAATCGAATCACTTCAGTGCTGGGAAACCCTCGCTGCCTAGAGAATCCAGCCTTATCTCCTGAGCTGGGAGATGGAGGCCCTCACTGGCCTCTGCCCACACTGATGCACTTCCCTGCACTCCAGAAGGGTCCCCAGCTTCCACACCTGCCTGCCTGCACCATATCTCCAGATTCTCCATCTAGAGCAATTCTGCTCATCTCTCAAGATCTGAATCAAATATGACTTCTGCTGTGACTCTCCCTCCCCAGCAAACAGATGCCCCCTCCCTCTGTGCTGCACAAGACCCGCCACACACACAGCTGTATTTGTTGTAAGTCACCGTCCCTACCCTACCCTCACTCCCTCCTGGCCAGCGGAGAGCAGTGGTTGAAAGCGGCTGGCATCTGCAGTCAGAGGAGGGTTTGCTGCCCGGCACTGCTGTCACTGCCAGGAAGCTGTTGTGCAATCCCTTACCTTGTTTAGACTGGTTTTTCTCACCTGGCAAGTTGTTTATAGGCAACAGCACTTTGCAGGCTCTAAAGGACCATGTAAATGTTAGTAGCAGTTGTTGTTGACACAGTGGTCCCCTGAGTCCTTTGAGGAGGGTGACCTGTTCATCTCGATGCTCTGAGCTCTGGCAAGGATCCGGCATGTGGCAGGTGCTCAACTGATGTCTGTTCAGAGTCTGGACAGTGGCTGGTGAAAGCCAGCACGTCTATGTGGATCGTGGCGCTGGTGCAGCGTCCCCATCCCACAAAGTTTTTCCCTCTAGATTGCCAGTTGACTATTAAGTTAGAGAGATGCCACATAATCTGCAGTGTTACAGACAAATCCAGAGGTGGCCAAGTGCGCAGACCAACCGCGCACAAAGAATACGACTTAGCCATGTGTGGAGAGAGCTCCTCTTGCCTTTTAGGAGAACGGAGGAAAGTGTCCCAGTGCCTGCTCAGAAAGAAAAACAAGGCTGGCTCCAGGAGCCAGAAGTACAAAAGACTGCCCCTCACCTCCACTGAGGGAGAGATTTGATGAGCTCATTCCTGAGCCTCTTGAAATCCAGACCCACGATTCCCTGATTTTTACTGTTTTAGGGGCCAGATGCTGTGACTCATACCTCTAATCCCAGCACTTTGGGAGACCAAGGGAGGAGGATCATTTCAAGCCAGGAGTTCAAGACCAGCCTAGACAACACAGTGAGACCCATCTCTACAAAAATAAAAAATTAACTGGCGTAGTGATATGTGCCTGTGGTCCCAGCCACGCCGGAGTCGGAGGTGGGAGGATCAGTTGAGCCCAAGAAGATCAGTGCTGCAGTGAGCCGAGATGGCGCCACGGCACTCCAGTCTGGGTGACAGAGCAAGATCCTGTCTTTAAAAAAAAAAAAAAAAAAAAGGCTGGGCGTGGTGGCTAACGCCTGTAATCCCAACACTTTGGGAGGCCGAGGCAGGCGAACATTTGAGGTCAGGAGTTTGGGACCAGCCTGGCCAACATGGTGAAACACTGTCTCTACTAAAAATACAAAAATTAGCTGGGCATGGTGGCACACACCTGTAATCCGAGCTACTAGGGAGGCTGAGGCTGATGCAGGAGAATCATTTGAACCTGGGAGGCAGAGGTTGCAGTGAGTCGAGATCTTGCCACTGCACTCCAGCCTGGGCAACAGAGCAAGATTCCGTCTCTAAATAAATAAATACATAATTTGATTTAATTTAATTAAGTACTGCTTTAGGACCAGCCCCTGGGATAAGTCCTAATCAGAAGTGTCCAGTGGAAAGAGGAGAAGGTGGTACCCCTGGTTCAGAGGAGTCTTTCAAATACAGGCACCAGCCACCTGGCCTGCAATGAGGGGGCTCTCATGAGGCTCATGGTCCACATCATCTCATGACTTTTTAGAACTTCACAAAAGAGATGTTTCCTCCCCAGTCCCTCTGGGCTTCAATACTGATTTATATAACAACTGTTACACTGTGCACAGAGTGCCCTGCTCCACACCAGGCACTGTTCTGGGGGCTTAGGACTCATCTAGGAGGCAGTAAACTCCCGTGCTCAGGAGCTTGCGTTCTAGTGTGGGGGAAGAAAGGAAAAAGAAAAAAATCTTAAAGCAGAGCAATGTAAGAAGGATCTGGAAGCTTTGTTACAGCTGTTTCCTCTCCCTGGAATATTTTCTCCAGATACCAGCTGGGCCAGCTCCCCTGCCTCCTTCAAGTCCTGCTGAAATCTCACCCTCATGATGAGGCCTGCTTAGACCACAGACTATTAATCATTACTACTACTGCAAATAACAGTAATGCAAAGAAAAATAAGGGGAGGAGACCTACCAACCACCAAGTGCTTCTTCCTGCCAGGCACTCAGCCAAGTGCTTTGGACACATGATCTTTTTTAATCTTCACACGTTATCATGAGGTAGTCTTTATTATCCCAGAAATGTTAACTAATTTGGCCAAGTTCATACCACACCAAATTTGAGGCCTTCGAAACAGTCTAATACCAAATCCTATGCTCGTTTTTTGGTTGTGTGTGTGTGTGTGTGTGTGTGTGTGTGTGTGTGTGTGGTTTTGTGTGTTTTGTGTGTGTGTGTGTGTTTTGGTTTTTTGTTGTTTTTTTTTTTTTTGAAAGAAGATCTCGCTGTCACCCAGGCTCGGGTGCAGTGGTGGAATCACAGCTCACTGCAGACTTGACCTCCTGGGCTTAAGTGATCCTCCCAGCTCAGCCTCCTGAGGAGCTGGGACTACAGGCATGTGCCACCATGCCCAGCTAATTTAATGTGGGTTTTTTTTCTTCTTTGTAGAAATGTGGTCTCCCTATGTTGCCCAAGCTGGTCTCAAATTCCTGGGCTCAAGCAGTTCTCCCACCTTGGCCTCCCAAAGTGCTGGGACTGCAGGTGTGAGCTACTGCACCTGGCCATAGCCTATGCTCTTAATCCCAGTTCCAAATGGCTGCTGTGAGCTAAACTGTGTCCCCCCAAAACATATAATGTCATTGTCACCCCTGGTTACTTATGCATGTGGCCTTATTGGAAATTGTGTCTTTGCAAATATATTCAAGTTAAGATGAAGCCGTTAGGGTGGGCTTTAACCCACTATGACCAGTGTCCTTAAGAGGGCAGTTTGGACATAGATGCTGTTTTAGTCCATTCTGTGCTGCTATAACAGAAAACCACAGAGCGCATCATTTATAAACAAGAAGTTTATTTGGCTCACGGTTCTAGAGGCTGGGAAGTCCAAAATCAAGGGGCCATATCTGGTGAGGGCCTTCTTGCTGAGTCATAGCATGGCCGATGGCATCACAAGGCAAGAGGGAGCCCAGGAGCCCACACTTCTTTTTTTGTTTGTTTGTTTGTTTGTTTGAGATGGAGTCTGACTCTGTCACCCAGGCTGGAGTACAGTGGCGTGATCTTGGCTCACTGCAACCTCCGCCTTCCAGGTTCAAGAAATTCTCCTGCCTTAGCCTCCTGGGTAGCTGGGATTACAGGCGCCCACCACCACCCCCAGCTAATTTTTTTGTATCTTTAGTAGAGACAGCGTTTTGCCATGTTGGCCAGGCTGGTCTTGAACTCACGACCTCAGGTGATTCACCCGCCTCAGCCCCCCAAAGTGCTAGGATTATAGGCCTGAGCCACCGCACCTACCCCAAACTTGCTTTTATAAGAAACCCACTCTCAGCATAAGGACATTAATCCGTTACATTCTTCTTAAATGTCCTACCTCACAATGCTGTCACACTGGGGATTAGGCTTCCAACTCATGAACTTCAGGGGACACATTCAACCACAGCAGATCCACAAAGAGAAGAGCATGTGACACTGGAGGCAGAGGTGGGAGTGACACATGCACAAACTAAGAAATACCAAGGACTGGCATAACCCCGAAAGCTAAGGAAGCGTGGAACAGATTCTCCCCAGAGCCTTCAGAGGGAGCGTGGCCCTGCAGCGCTTTGATTTCAGCCTTCTGGCCTCCAAAACTGTGAGAGAATCTGCGTCCCTTGTTTTAAGCCAGCCAGTTTGGGATACTTTGCTATGGCAGCCCCAGGAAGTTAATACAAATGCCTCTCTTTGCACCCTATTTTACTGATTTTTTTTTTCTGCAATACAAGTTTTGACACTTTTACCCGTTTTCACCATTAGGTGAGATCAAAGCCTCAATGTTAATAACAGAGAAACTAGACCTAGGAAGCACAAAGGGCACCCAAGGCAGTCCCTCTCCTCCCAGTGGGAACCCTGAGGGAAATAAGAGATTCCTAGTTGGGAGCAGAATGTAAGTGTCACTTTGAGTGTATCCATCTTAAATGCTTCATCAAGAAGACAAGGGGATGCATGTCAAGCTGAAAGAGTAACAGCCCAACACAGGAAAGGATGGAGGCCCTTGTTCCCTCCCGAAACGTTTCTTATGTTTGCCCTTTGGGCTGACTGCTGAAGCGGGGGCAGCCAATCTCCAGGCGCATCTTGGAGGTCAGCGGAACGTGCAGTCGCTGTGACAAGCACAGGCTGCCCCTGATCCTCCCCACCCTATGCCTCTAGCCTTAAAACTGGTTCTTCACTTCTCTGGATCTCAACTTCCAGATCTGTAAAATGGGAATAACAGCACCTTCTTCTGAAGGCATTTGGGAGGCTCAAGTGAAATAATGTAAGTAAAACACCTGGCACATAAAACACTTAGCATGTTAAGTGAGATCATGTAAATGAAACAGATGTACAGGCAGCAAAAGCAAAAGTAGACAAGTGGACTGCATCAAAATACAAAGCTTCTGCACAGCCAAGGACACAATCGACAGAGATGTTCACTGCCACTCCCCAAGATGGACATGGCCTTGCTTTTGGGAGATGAAATGCAACAGCATCGATCTGTGTTTTCCCGCAGCAGATTCCTCCCGTATGCCTTCTAGTTCATGTTTTTAAAGGAAGAAAGAAAGACCTCAGATCAAACAGTGGTCAAACCTATCCTGTCTTCTTACAAAAAAAAATCAAACTTGAATCAGATCAAGCCACTTAGGTCTAACTATTCATGTACAGGAAATGCAGACACAGGAACCCAAACAATGAGCCTATAATGGGCAAAATCCATAAAACCCGTATTCCTCAACAGATGCACTGTAAGAAAACAAAGTGGGGGGACAGGGGACAATGAATGCAACTACATAGGCCAAATTCAATGTGGGGACCCTTTTTAAAAATGATTTCATAATTCAGAGATTTGAATATTGACTGAGTAGTTGACAACACTGAGGAATTCCAGGATTTCTTTAGGTAGGATCATGGTATTATGGATATGGTTTTGTCCTTTTAAAAAATAAGTCCCCCCTCCTCAGTCCTTAGCTGGACACAGTGGCTCACACCTGTAATCCCAGCACTTTGGAAGGACAAGACAGGAGGATCGCTTGAGTCCAGGAGTTCAAGACCAGCCCGGACAACAGTGAGACCTCATCTCTACAAAGAAATCAAAAAATTAGCCAGGGCATGGTGGCATGCGCCTATAGTCCCAGCTATGCAGGAGGCTGAGGTGGGAGGATCCCTTGAGCCCAGGAGGACGAGGCTGCAGTGAGCTTGATCACACCACTGCACTCCAGCCTGAGCAACAGAGTGAGAACCTGTCTCAAAAAAAAAAAAAAAGTCCTCATCTGCTAGAGACATACACTGCAACATTTATCCATGAACTAATATAATGTTTGGGGTTTGCTTTAGAAGCATTCAGAGGAATAGAGGTGGGAGAGTGGCTTGGGGGACAGATGTAACAAGATTGGCCAGGCATTGATTAGTGTGACAGAGCTAAGTGCTGAGTATGTGTCTGAAATGTTCCATAATAAAAAGTTGTTCGCAAGAGAAGTAAACCATTTTCTTTCCTTTCAAAGTAACTGCATCTTAACTGAGACATATTAAAATTAAAATGTATCTGATAGGAAAGATAAGGCTGAGAGTTAAAAACAGGCACTAGAGATTTTTCAAATGGCAACAGAGATTCATTTCCTGGTACTTTAAAATGCATTCATTAGAAATAGGGCATGCTACTATTATTAGCACATTGAAAGGAAACTCACTTAAAGTAACCATATTATAGATTTCAGGCATCTTAGCACAACACATAATGATGAATACTTTGGATGTGTTCATAATACTTCCCCCCATAAAGTCCTATTTGTGCTATAAATTAGTTGACCCAAATGCTTTTTTTAAAAATACAGTGTTTTTTAGGAAGTGTAAACATTTTTTAAAAAAGAAAACAGGGTGCACTTTCTTCTCTTATTGGCAAGGTGTCTTAGAGAACGAATGCTCCTTCCTCTGTTTGTGAAACTAAATGATCATCTGAGGATCCCGGGAGCACATGTTGTTGGAAAGTGAAATGACAGGCAGGGTGGCAGCCTCGCACCCCTGCCTGTCCACCATTACTTTCAAGTATGTGGTCACTGAAGGAAAGAACGCGCTGATCTTGAGGGCAAACTCCTCCTTCTCCAGCCCCCTTGCTCAAGTCCCAAAGGAGACGGCCAACCCACAACCCCTCCAAACACTCGCTGGCTTCCCTCCCTTCCTTCTAGTTCAGATTCCAATGTTTATGGCCAACATCATCAACCCGCCTGTGCTCCTCTTCACCTGAAAAGCCCCCATCCCTAGATGACCTCACCCACTGCCTTGCTCCACCTCAGCAATCACTTTTTCATTTGCTTAGTGTTCCATTAGTGTTCTATCACTAATTCATCCCCCAAAACTCTTAGAAGAAAACATAAGGAAAAAGCTCCTTGACATTGGTCTTGGCAATGATTTCTTGGATATGACACCAAAAGCACAGCCACAAGAGCAAGAAGATACAAATGGGATTACAACAAACTAAAAAGCTTCTGCACATCAGAGGATGCAACCAACAGAGTGAAGAGGCAACGATACAATGCAAGAAAATATTTGTAAGCCATACATCCGAAAAAGGGTTAATAACAACATATATAAGGAACTCCTACAACTCAATGGCACAAAAACTAACAACCTGATTCAAAAATGAGGTAAGGACTTGAATAGACATTTCTCCAAAGAAGACATACAAAGGCCCAGCATCACTAACCATGAGAGAAATATAAGTCAAAGCCACAATGAGGTATCACCCCATTACTGTTAGGATGGCTGTTGTCAATAAGACCTAAGGCAACAAGAGTTGGCAAGAGCATGGGGGAAAAGGGAACCCCTATACCCTGTTGGTGGGAAAGCAAAATGGCGCAGCTGCTATAGAAATTTTTTAGAAACCTGTTCATCTCCTCACAGTGAGTTGCACCTCAGGTACTTTGTGTTTCTGTTCTTCTCAGAGACCTCCCTCCTGCACCTTCCCATCCTCTTGCTTCCATCTGGATGAATGACTTTTCTAGACCTGCTGCCCAGCCAGAAGCTGGCCAATTTGATTAGTTCTTTCTGAAAACAACATTTTGCCGTCAGGTGCGGTGGCTCACGCCTGTGATCCCAGCACTTTGGGAGGCCAAGGTGGGCAGATCATTTGAGGCCAGGAGTTCGAGACCAGGCTGGCCAACATGGTGAAACCCCGTCTCTACTAAAAATACAAAAATTAGCTGGCTGTGGTGGTGGGCGCCTGTAGTCCCAGCTACTCAGGAGGCTGAGGCAGGATAATCGCTTGAACCTGGGAGGCAGAGGTTGCAATGAGTGGAGATTATACCACTGCACTCCAGCCTGGAAGACAGAGCGAGACTCTGACTCAAAACAAAAATAAAAACAAAAATAACACTTTTCCTTATGCATAATGTTTAACTTTTGTTTTCTATATCTTCGGTTTCTGCTCTTTCTTTTCTCTCCTTTCTACTTTCCTTGAGTTTATTCTTTGTCCTAATTTTTTGTTGTTGTTGTTTTGAGACAGGGTCTCACTTGGTCACCCAGGCTGGAGTGCAGTGGCACAATCACAGCTCACTGCAGCCTCAACCTCCCAAGCTCAGGTGATCTTCCTGCCTCAGCCTCCCGAGTGGCTGAGACTTAAGGCGCATGCCACCATGCCCAGCTAATTTTTTGTAGAGATGGGGTTTTGCCATGTTGCCCAGGCTGGTCTCAAACTCCTGAGCTCAAGCAATCTGCCCTCCTCAGTCTCCCAAAGTGCTGGGACTACAGGCATGAGCCGACGCGCCCGGTCCTAACTGATAAAATAGGTTACAAAGCTGTTTAACTTTCAGTCTTTTTTCCCCCTAAAGTAAGCGTTTAAGCTTAAAATTTTTCCTTTTATGGCATCTCATAAATTTTGACTCGTAGTGCTCATTTGTAGCATTTTTCTTATTCAGTTCTAAATATTTTCTAATTTTCTTTCTGATTTTTTGACCCATGAATTATGTAGATGTGTATTTCCTATTTTCCAGAAGTATGGAGTTCTCTTTTCTATGTTTTGTTATTGACTTCGAACTCATTTGCACTGTGGTCAGAGAACATGATCGATGTGAGAAACTCTTGGAAATTTGTTGAGACTTGTTTTCTGACCCATTGCAGGGCCAGTTTTCATAAGTGGTTTATATATGCTTGGAAAGAATGTGTATTCTCCGTTTGTTGAGTGCAATGTTCTATAGGTGTTTGTTAACAAGTTTGGTGAGTTTATTACCAAATCTTCCCTATCCTTACTGATTTTCAAAAACTACTTAATCTATCAATTACTGAGAGAAAAGTATTAAAATTTCCCACATGATTTCTACTTCTCTTTTCAGTTCTGTTGAGTTTTGCTTAACTTATTTGGCATAAATAGAATTAGCTTAATCATCATATACTGCTTTGGCTATTTAAAGTTCTTTTTGGCTGGGTGTGGTGGTTCACACCTGTAACTCCAGCATATTGGGAGGCCAAGGCAGGTGGATCACCTGAGGTCAGGAGCTTGAGACCAGCCTGGCCAACATGGTGAGACCCCATCTCTACTAAAAATATACAAATTAGCTGGGTCTGGTGGCACACACCTGTAGTCCCAGCTAGTGGGGAGGCTGAGGTGGGAGGATCACTTCAACCCGGGAGGTGGAGGTTGCAGTGAGCCAAGATTGCACCACTGCACTCTAGCCTGGGCAACAGAGCGAGAACCTGTCTCAAAAATAAAATAAAATAATCAAATGAAGTTCTTTTCTTTCCAGTTAACAATGCATGTTAGAGAGGGAGTTTTAAGAGACAGCAGTGGAAAAGAATTATGTTCTGATAACTATTTTTAGTAAGTAGTTTTTAGACCAGGTGCAGTGGCTCACTGCTGTAATCACAGCATTTTGGAAGGCCAAGGTGGGAGGATTGCTTGAGGCCAGGAGGTTGAGGCTACAGTGAGCTATGATTGTGCCACTGCACTCTCGCCTGGGTGACAGAGTGAGACCCTGTCTCTGTTAAAAAAGAAAAAAGTGGTTGTCATATACATATACATTATTTCTTTTTCAATGTTCTCCTTGTTTTGCTCTCATGAAACTCTTGTTCAAAATTGAGATTTATTGGCAACAGTCCAGGGATGGAAGAGGGGAGTTCATGAAAAGTGCTCTTCTCACCACCCCTCTCTCCCCGACTTCTGAATTCTGAACTTCTCAGCTCAACACCACACTTGTAACATCAGGCTGCAGCCTGAAGGTAAATGTGAATGAGAAGGAAGAGCATAGGAAGCATTAGGGCTTGTGATGTTCCCGTGAATCACTAAAGGAGTGCTCCCTGATTTGGTGTCCCAGTGTTTGGTACACCAGGAACAATGCAACCTAGTAGGACTTAGGACTAGCGAGGGGTCTACCTTTCTTTTCTGAGGTGGGAAAAGAGCCACAACAAACTCAGGTGCATGCCAGGCAGACCCATCTAGGAAAGGGCATGTCCATGTCAGTTGAAAACCTGGAAATTGATTCTCTTTCCATTGTCTGTTCCTGTGTAGCTCTTGGACAGCTTTTTTTTTTTTTTTTTTTTTCTGAGACAGAGTCTCACTCTGTCATCCAGGCTGCAGTGCGGTGGTGTGATCTCGGCTCTCTGCAACCTCTGCCTCCTGGGTTCAAGCAATTCTCCTGCCTCGGCCTCCTAAGTAGCTGGGACTACAGGCATGCACCACCACGACCGGCTAACTTTGTATTTTTAGTAGAGATGGGTTTTGCCATGTTGGGCAGCCTGGTGTCAAACTCCTGACCTCAAGTGATTCTCCTGCCTCAGCCTCCCAAGGTGCTGGGATTACAGGGGTGAGTCACTGTGCCCCGCCTCTTGGACAGCTTTTCACACTCCCAGGCCACCTGTGTTCCTCTTTGAAGACCTTGAATTCTTTCAATGTGTCCTGATCCCACAGGAGACTAGAATCCATCTGTGCCTCTTCTGAGTACATCTCCTGGACTCTAGCCCTGCATGTAACCATACAGAAGGCTGAATGAGGTGCCAATAGCTTCATCCTAGGAAATCCGGATTAAACGGACCATTTCTCAGAGATCATCTGAATCAAATTGGAAAATATCTGCCAACCTCACTGGGCATCACAGTCTAATAAAGTTGAAAGTCAGCCCTCCATCAGCTCATGAACTCACTCTGCTTCCAGGAGAAGTATTGACCAGTATCAGGTTCAAGTTACACCTAGCGAGCGGTTTCTAGAAATAGCCTTTGTAAGGAAAGGTACTGTGCTGCTTTCCTACTGGGGAAATATGTGCCGAGTGGGTCTTATGCAACGTGTGTAGGGATGCTCTTTAATTTAATCCCCAACCTTCAGCATGGGGACAAAACATGGGGATAGGGCATGGTAGAAGTCCTAGGAACAGGACTGCAGGGAGGAGAGGCACCGTGTCCTTTCTGTCTCCAGGCTGTGGCTCCTCACTTGGCTGGGCCTGGGGAGGAAGAGAAGCTGCCAGCAGGTGAGGAGCTCAGCCAGAGGCCTCTCGAAACCACGCGGTGTCCCCGTCTGGGGCGGTTTGACTGCAGGAGAGGAATGGAGGGAATGAACACAGCAATTTCATTAGCGTCTCTAAGAATAAAATTAGCGTAAGTTGTCATTTGAGTTAGTTAAATATTAGTGAGACAGGTATAAAAATGGACTGCTTTTACTTTTCAAACATATTCTATGATATTTATCATATTATATGATTATCTGGTTTAATTTTTAAAAATGACATTTATACCAAAATAACAATTGGCATGTAGCTTTTTAGAAACCACTTTGGTGGTTTCCAAAGTGTCCAACAATAGGAAGCACAAAAGTGGTTGTCAGGGTGCGTGCTCTGGAGCCAGTGAGCCTGCCTTCCAATCGCCACGTGACAGGGGGAGCAACTGGGCAGGCCAGCAGCCCTAAACCTCGGTTTTTTGCTTGTTAAATGGAGACACTAAATCATACCTATCCTCGTAGAGTCAGTGTGCGGGTTAGTCGAGGTCGTGCATAGAAGGCACTTGAATCCAAGTAAAAGCTCCATAGGTTGCTATTATTGTTGGAGTAGCTTATGATACATATAATGGAATACTACACAGACATTCAAAATTATGCTGTGGATAGATGCATATTTGCCAAACAGATGGCATTAAATGGTATGGACAGTATGATTTCATTTTTGTAGGCTCTAAATACATACAAATGTGATTAGAAAAAGTCTAGAAGTACGTTATACCAAAGTACTAATAGGAGTTACCTCTGGATAATGGATTTTCAAGAGATTTTAAAATATAATTTCTTTTATGCATTTTATTACACCTGTATACAAAATAATAATTTTTTGACCAGGTGTGGTGACTCACGCCTGTAATCCCAGCACTTTGGGAGGCTGAGGAGGGTGGATCACTTGAGGTCAGGAGTTCAAGACCTGCCTGGTCAACATAGTGAAATCTAGTCTCTACTAAAAAAATAAAAATTAGAAAAAATACAAAAATAAGCCAGGCGTGGTGGTGCACAGCTGTAATCCCAGCTACTCGGGAAGCTGAGGCAGGAGAATCGCTTGATCCTGGGAGGTGGAGTTTGCAGTGAGCCGAGATTGTGCCGCTACACTCCAGCCTGGAGGACAGAGCAAGACTTCATCTCAAAAATAATAATAATAATAATAATAATAATAATAATAAAATAACTTTACCGCTGAATGCCTTAAGAAAAAGCTTAAATCTTCGGGAAGCTTTGGTTGCATGGATCTACCAGTAACCATGAGGAGTCTTTGTTGCCTCTGCTAACACTTTACCTTATTTGAAGCAAAATTATTTAAATGCAAAAAGAGGTTTCAGGAGTAAATAAGCCACAAAACTAAAAAGACAAAATGTTGGCCGTTGTTATAGTCAACAATTCTTGTTTAATGGAAATTTATTTACACAATCCCAAGATTTTTTAAATTTTGTTTTTAGAGACAGGGTCTCACTCTGTTGCCCAGGTTGAAGTGCAGTGGTACCATCATCGCTCATTGCAGCCTTGAACTCCTGGGCTCAAGCCATCCGCCTCAGCTTCCTGAGTAGCTGGGACTACAGATGTGTACCACCACGCCCAGCTAATTTTTTTTTTTTTCACTTTTTTGTAGAGACATTCTCCCCATGTTGCCCAGGCTGGTCTCAAACTCCTGGCCTCAAGCGATCCTTCCACCTCAGCCTCCCAAAGTACTGGGATTACAGGTGTGAACCACTGTGCCCAGCTTATACAATCCCAAACTGTAAAAGAACAGTAGTTACCCCTTATCCACAGGAAATGTGTTCCAAGACCCCCAGTGGATGCCTGAAACCATGAGTAGCACTGAACCCTGTATAGACTATGTTTTTCTTGTGTGATAACTGGGATGGCTACTAAGTCACTGAAGGGCAGGTAGTATGTACAGTACAGGTACCTAGAGAAAGGGATGTCTGATTCACATCTGGGCTGGACAAAGCAGGGTGGAGCAGGATTTCATCACGCGACTCAGGGACGGCATGCAACTTAAAACTTATGAATTGTTTCTGGAATTTTTCATTTAATATTTTTTGGACCAGGGTCACCCATGGGTAACTGAAACCACAGACAGCAAAACTGCGGTTAAGGGAGGACTACTGTAATAATTTACCATAAATTCTAGACAAGTCAGGCGCAGTGGCTCATGCCTGTAACCCCAGCACTTTACGAAGCTGAGGCAGGAGAATCGCTCGAGCCCAAGAATTCAAGACCAGCCTGGGCAACATAGTGAGACCTTGTCTCTACTAAAAATAAAACCATTAGGCAGGTGTGGTGGCCCACACCAGTAGTTCCATCTACTCGGGAAGCTGAGGCAAGAGGATCCCTCGAGCCTAGGAGTTTGGTCCCAGTGAGCTATGATCGTGCCACTGCGCTCCGGCCTGGGTGACAGAGCAAGACCCTGTTTCAAAAATCAATACATAAATACTTTCTAAGACATATCCTTCAATTTCATAGAATTTAATTATCTACTCCCTAATATTTCTCTTGGTTGCATTACTAGCCGGCCTACCCTCCTCTCCCTTTGTGTGTATTCTGGCTTAATACCGACATGCAAAGACCAGCACTTGGCCGAACTCACTCAGAGATTCTGAGAGCCCCTAGTGAGAACCAGTCAGTTTGATAAGCAAAGGCTTTGCTTGGTATCCTGGCTCCCTAGAAAAAGCTATAGTCTGGTTACCTTAGTGACAGGGTTGTACTGAAAAGAAACAGAGAACGGTCAGGCAGCTGCACAGCCAGCCTCCTGCACACAAACGTGCTTAGAACAGGAACCCTGTTGGGGATACAGCCCTGCTCTCCTGCTCTTTCTGCCATCACCCCAAGAACAGCAGTGGGCGGTGGTCGCTCCCCATCACTCCACTCCTCCGTGATCCCCGCATCCATGGTTGCTCTGTCTGCTTCGTGGCTTCTGCTGCCTCGTGGCTCTAGTCTCCCTGGGTGTCCTTCAGCCTCCACCCTGCTTCTGACTGCAGACTCTTGCATCTTATATTCAAATATCCTCTGGCTGAGCAAGCCAATCACCACACAGAATAGATGGCTCTTTTGAGCAGAGCTCTGAGTCGGCCACAGGCCAGCTTAGAAACTGGCTGCACTAGGGTCAGGTGCCCCTCTCTGACCCAATCAGCTGTGGACCAGGATCTCAGAGTCACATTGCACAGAACATGACAATCTGTGCAGCAGGAAAACCCCAGAGGGACCCTTAGGGCACAAAAAGCTTTCTAAAATTTCCCCAGAAAAAAAGCTGTATAACTAACCAGCAAGCACGGTGCTTGATCTCAGTTCCACTGGAAATAAAACTATCAATACAGACACAGTGTGCTCATTTAGTGGTCTATCTGTATCTTACATAGCTGGCAAGTTACTAATGAACTCCTGTATCTCAGCAAACACTAAGATAAAGCTACACTCCCAAATAAGGATTGGATATTTCATTTAAGAATGTATTTATTGCTGAGCTCAGTTCTCTGAGATAATCCATTCTTCCACCAGGGCATGAAGCTTATTTTCAAAAGTGTCCTGTTTGAATATTTTTACTGTTTAATATATGGCATATTGAATGGCAAATTTTCTTGAGCTATAGACAGTTGGCTAATTTTATGCTTGCATTAATCTTAACATTTGTAATCCTCATGGAAATTAACAGCTAAAATTTCTTATACATCAATTAAAGATGGCTTTTTTTCTTGTAGTTTATCTAGGCACATCACTTTTTCTTTTTTTTTAAAATATTCAACTCATTTTGTGAGTTCCCTGTTTGACCCTGACCCTGGTCGTGCTGACATCTGCTAACAATAGAGACTTTAAACCAAGCCTGGCTCTGCACAGTGCACCAGGAGACTTTTGTACGAGACGCTGAAGGCAGACTGCTTTCTTCCTCCAGCCAAGAGCTGCCTCTAATGCTTTTCATTGGTTCCTCTCCAGCTGGCTGTTCTCTCTTCTCTTAACAACTCAAGTTCTTTTTTCTTCTGGGTTACCTCTTTAAGGTCAAGTAGTAAAGACGCTGCCCATCTTCAGAGGTGCTGGGATTGGAACCCTTTTAATTCAGGGAAGCATTTGATATTCCTTTCATGTTTGTGTTGTGTTTGGTTTGCTTTAATTTCAAATGATTTATGTAGCTAATCTTTCCTCCATCAAAATCAAAGGAAAGTTGGTCTTTGCTGGGAAATAAAAACTTGAACAAAAGCCACATTAAAGAACAAGTAACAAGAAAGGAACTACTGTTATGAAAGAATTCAGGGGAAGGTAAATATCATAGAATAATTTGAAGACAAGTTGAAAGGAAACGTCATATTCAGTGTCATATCACATACTGTATGTCACACAGAGGACAGAATCAAACACTAAATCCAGTCCCAGAAGAGACGGAGACCAGGCAAGGGAGGGGGAAAGACCGCAGGCAGAACACCCCTCCCTGTGGGTGAGTGCCCTCTGTCTCCGAGTGGCCCTGAGGCATGGCAAAGTGGAGTGTCTTGTCCAAGGCTATGTAGATTCTAAATGGCAGAGCAGGAATTCGAACTCAGGGGCTCTGTTTCTAAACTGAAGTCACTTCCTTGGTGAGATGCCATTTCTGGAATAAAACTGGCATATCCGTCAGCTTTTCTTTTCTCCTAATGATTTAAGGCACAAACCTCTCTTGCTTAAAGTCTGAGAGTCTGAGCCAATTGTATATCTTGTCCTTGTGGTGAATACCATCCCCCTCCAAATTAGGCAAACAGCAAGATTGGCAATTAGTCATCAAATGTGCAAAAACCTTTTATAAAAAGATAGGGTTCTGGCTGGGTGCGGTGGCTCACGCCTTGGCCAACACTTTGGGAGGCCAAGCTGGGCGGATGGCTTGAGCCCAGGAGTTCAAGACCAGTCTGGGCAACACAGCGAAACCACGTTTCTACAAAATATTTTAAAATTAGCAGGGCATGATGGTGTGTGCCTGTAGTCTCAGCTGATGGGGGGCAGGTGCTGAGGCAGGAGGATTGCTTGAGTCTGGGAGGTCGAGGCTGCAGTGAGCCATGATTACACCACTGCACTCCAGCCTGGGTGACAGGGCAAGACCCTGCCTTAGAATAAAAAAAAGATAGGGTTCTGAAGAGATGTTGTTCCTCTTCTGAAATGTTTTATACGTTCAGACACGTTTACCCCACCTTGCCATTTTTCCAGGGACAGTTACCTACTTATCAATCCAGAGAGTATCAGGATCAGATGGACCAGTACAAGCGTCACAACATCATTAAAGAACAAGGTCAGAAACCCAACTTCTGAGACGGATATGACCATATTTGCGAAGAAATGAAAGTTCATGTTTAAGACTAGTTTAGCCTCTTCGGGTGCTATAACAAAGCACCGTAGACTGGGTAGGTTATAAACCACAGAGATTTATTTCTCACAGTTCTGGAGGCTAGAAGTCCAGGGTGCCAGCATGGTCGGTTCTGATGAGGGCCCTCTCCTGGGTTGCAGATGGCTGATTTCTCCTTGTATCCTCACATCGTGGAAAGCAGGTGAGTTAGCTCTCAGGCCTCTTTTAAGGGCACTAATCCCATTCATGAGGCCCCCACCCTCATGACCTAATCACCTCCCAAAGGGCCCACTTTCAAATACCATCACACTGAGGATGCAATTTCAACATATGAATTTGGCGGGGGCCATTCAGTCCATAACGAAGACCAAAGAAATGGTATTTGTTTTTATGAACATTTGACTATACTCAGTGTTGAAGTGTAACTTAGCTCTATGTTACATCCACATATGAAGTCCATTGCCTTTTCAAAGAAGAACGTTTTCTTTCTCTTTCTTTTTCTTTCTTTCTTTCTTTTTCTTTCTTTCTTTTCTTTCTTTCTTTCCCTTCTTTCTTTCTTTTTCTCTTTCTTTCTCTTCTTTCTTTCCTCTCTCTTTCTCTTTCTTTCTTTTTCTCTTTCTCTTCCTCCTCTTTCTTCTTTCCTTCCTCTCTCTGTCTCTCTTTCTCTTTCTTTCTTTTTCTCTTTCTCTTCCTCCTCTTTCTTCTTTCCTTCCTCTCTCTGTCTCTCTTTCTCTTTCTTCTCTCTCTCTTTCTTTCATACAGGGTCTTGCTCTGTCACCTAGGTTAGAGTACAGTGGCGAGATCGTAGCTCACTATAGCCTCAACGTCCTGGGCTCAAGTGATCCTCCTCCTCCTGCCTCAGCCTTCCAAGTAGACAGGATTATAGGTGTGCCACCACTCCTGGTGCATTAGTCTGTTTTCACACTGCTATAAAGAACTGCCTGGCTGGGCTCGGTGGTTCACGCCTGTAATCCCAGCACTTTGGGAGGCTGAGGCAGGCGGATCATGAGGTCAGGAGTTCAAGACTAGCCTGGCCAATATAGTGAAACTCCGTCTCTACTAAAAATACAAAAAAATTAGCTGGGCATGGTGGGGCATGGTGGCACATGCCTGTGGTCCCAGCTACTTGGGAGGCTGAAGCAGAAGGATCGCTTGAACCTAGGAGGTGGAGGTTGCAGTGAGACAAGATCGTGCCACTGCACTCCAGCCTGGGCAACAGAGTGAGACTCCATCTTAAAAAATAAATAGATAAATAAAATGAAAAAAAAAAAAAAAAGAACTACCTGAGACTGGGTAATTTATAAAGAAAAGAGATTTAATTGACTCATAGATCTACAAGGGTGGGGAGGCCTCAGGAAACTTACAATCATGGCAGAAGGCTAAAGGGAAGTAAAGTACGTCTCACGTGGTGACAGAAGGGGTAGTGGGGGAAGTGCCAAACACCTTTAAACCATCAGATCTCATGAGACTCACTCACTATCACAGAACAGCATGGGGAAAACCACTCCCATGATCCAGTCACCTCCCACCAGGTCCCCTCTTCGACACAGGGGGGTTACAATTCAAGATGAGATTTGTGTGGAGACACAGAGCCAAACCATATCACGTGGCTAATTGTTTGTGTTTATTGTAGTGACGGGGTCTCCCTATGTTACCCAGGCTGTTCTCGAACAACTGGGCTCAAGTGATCTGCCCGCCTCAGCCTCCCAAATTGCTGGGATTGCAGGCACGAGCCCCCACACCCAGCCACCAATTGAATTTCTATATACTAACAACCAGCAAGCAAATACTGGGGAAAAAAAAACTAAATCCAATTATAATAGCATCAAAATATGAAATATCTAGGGATAAATCTGTCTACACATATAAAAACCTATACAGTGAAAAGTACTAAATATTCCTGAGAGAAATTAAAGAAGAACTAAATAAATGGAGTGATATACTTCATTCATGGGTCAGAAGACTGAATAATGTTAAAATGTAAATCCTCCCAAAATTAATTTATAGATTCAAAATAATGCCAATCAAAGTCCCAGCAGGCTTTTGTTTCTAATAGAAAGTGACAGGCAGATTCCAAAATTCATATGAAAATGTAAAGGACCAGCCAGACACGGTGGCTCATGCTGAAATCCCAGCACTTTGGGAGGCCGAGGCAGGTGGATCACCTGACATCAGGAGTTCGAGACCAGCCTGGCCAACATGGTGAAACCCCGTCTCTACTAAAAATGCAAAAAAATTAGCCAAGCATGGTGGTGGGAGCCTGTAATCCCAGCTACTCAGGAGGCTGAGGCAGGAGAATCACTTGAACCTGGGAAGCAGAGGTTGCAGTGAGCTGAGATTGCATCACTGCACTCCGGCCTGGGTAACAGAGTGAGACTGTCTCAAAAAAATAAAAAGAAAAAGAAAATGTAAAGGACCTAGATTAACCAACCAAAACAACTTTGAAAAAGAAGAACAAGGTTGGAAGCATAAAATTTCAAGATTCATTTTTAAGAGACAGGTCTAGCTTCATCACCTCAGCAAAAGGTGCACAATCATGGCTCACTGCAACCTCAAACTCCTGGGCTCAAGTGATCCTCCTCCCTCCTGCCTCAGCCTCCAGAATAGCTAGGACTACAGGTGCATGCCACCATACCCAGCTATTTTCTTTTCTTTTTTTTTTTTTGTAGAGACAAGGTCTCATTATGTTGTGGTCTCAAACTTTTGGCCTCAAGCTCTCCTCCTGCCTCAGCCTCCCAAGGTGCTAGGATTATATGTATGACCCATCGCACCTGGTGATGTGGTTTAGCTCTGTGTCCACACCCAAATCTCACCTTGAATTTTAATCCCCATAATCCTTATGTGTCAAGGGCGGGACCAAGTGGAGATAATTGAATCATGAGGGCAGTTTCCCCCATGCTCTTGTGATAATGAGGGAGTCTCATGAGATCTGATGGTTTTATAAGTGTCTGGCATTTTCTCTGCTTGCACTCAGTCTCTCTCCTGCTGCCCTGTGAAGAGGTACCTTCCACCGTGATTGTAAGTTTCTTGATGCTTCCCCAGCCATGAGGAACTGTAAGTCCATTAGAACTCTTTTCTTTTTAAATTACCCTGTCTCAGCCTGGCACGGTGGATCATGCCTGTAATCCCAGCACTTTGGGAGGCTGAGGGGGGTGGATCACTTGTGGTCGAGAGTTCAAGACCAGCCAGACCAACATGGATAAACCCTATCTCTACTAAAAATACAAAATTAGCCGAGCGTGGTGGCACATACCTGTAATCCCAGCTACTCGGGAGGCTGAGGCAGGAGAATTGCTTGAACCCGGGAGGCAGAGGTTGTGGTGAACCGAGATCGCACCATTGCACTCCAGTCTGGGCAACAAGAGTGAAACTCCGTCTCAAAAAAAAAAAAAAAAGAAGGAAAGAAAGAAAGAAAGAAAGAAAGGAAGGAAGGAAGGAAGGAAGGAAGGAAGGAAGGAAGGAAAGAAAGAAAGAAAGAAAGAAAGAAAGAAAGAAAGAAAGAAAGAAAGAAAGAAAGAAAGGAAGGAAGAAAGAGAACAAAAACCCAGTGTCAGGTATTTCTTCATAGCAGTGTGAGAACGGACTAATACAGTAAATTGCTACCACAAGTGGGGAGCTGCTATAAGGATACTCGAAAATGTGGAAACAACTTTGGAACTGGGTAACAGGCAGAGGCTGGAATAGTTTGGAGGGCTCAGAAGACAGAAAGATGTGGGAAGCTTTGGAACTTCCTAGAGACTTGTTGAATGGTTTTGACCAAAATGCTGATAATGATATGGGCAATGAAGTCCAGGCTAAGGTGGTCTCAGACAGAGATGAGGAACTTCTTGGGAACTGGAGCAAAGGCCACTCTTGCTATGTTTAGCAAAGAGACTGGCAGCTTTGTGCCTGTGCTTCTAGAGATCTGTGGAACTTTGAACTTGAGAGAGATGATTTAGGCTATCTGGCAGAAGAAATTTCTTTTTTTTTCTCTGTCACCCAGGCTGGAGTGCAGTGGCACAATCTCGGCTCACTGCAACCTCCACCTCCTGGGTTCAAGCAATTCTCCTGCCTCAGCCTCCCAAGTAGCTGGGACTACAGGTGCTCGCCACCATGCCCAGCTAGTCTTTGTATTTTTAGTACACTCAGGGTTTCACTAATGTTGGTCAGGCTGGTCTCGAACTCCTAACCTCAAGAGAGCCACCCACTTCAGCCTCCCAAAGTGTTGGGATTATAGGCGTGAGCCACCGCACCCAGCCAAGAAGAAATTTCTGAGTGGCAAAGCATTCAAGAAGAAGCAGAGCATAAAAGTTTGGCAAAGTTGCAGCCTGACGATGTGATAGAAAAGAAAAACCCATTTTCTGGGGAGAAATTCAAGCCTACTGCAGAAATTTGCATAATGAGGAGCCAAATGTTAATCAGATCCAAGATAATTGGGAAGATGTCTCCAGGGCATGTCAGAGACCTTCCCCTCTCATCACAGGCCCAGTGGTCTAGAAGGGAAAAATAGTTAACACGGGCTGGGCCCAGAGCAGCCTGCTCTGTGCAGCCTCAAGACATGGTGCTCTCCATCCCTGCTGGTTCAGTTCCAGCCATGGCTAAAAGGGGCAAAGGTATAGCTGAGACCATTGCTTCAGAGGGTACAAGCCCCAGTGCTTCTTTGCTTCCACATGGTATTGAGCCTGTGGGTGCCCAGAAGTCAAGAATTAAGGTTTGGGAACCCCTGCCTAGATTTCAGAGGATGTACGGAAATGCCTGGATGTTCTGGCAGAAGTTTGCTGCAGGGGCAAGGCCCTCATGGAGAACCTCTGCTAAGTCAATGCAGAAGGGAAATGTGGGGTCAGAGCCCCCACACAGAGTCTCCACTGGGGCACTGCCTAGTGGAGCTGTGTGAAGAGGGCCACCATCCTCCAGACCTCAGAATGGTAGATCCACTGACAGCTTGCACCATGCACCTGGAAAAGCCACAGACACTCAACACCAGCCCATGAAAGCAGCCAGGAGGAGGCCGTACCCTGCAAAGCCACAGGGGCAGAGCTGCCCAAGGCCATGGGGGTCCATCTCTTGCATCAGCGTGACCTGGATGTGAGACATGGAGTCAAAGAAGATCACTTTAGAACTTTAAGGTTTAATGACTGCTCTCTTGTATTTTGGATTTGCATGGGGCCTGCAGCCCCTTTCTTTTGACCAATTTCTCCCATTTGGAATGGGTGTATTTACCCAATGCCTGTAACCCTATCGTATCTAGGAAGTAACTAACTTGATTTTGATTTTACAGGCTACTAGGCGGAAGGGACTTGCCTTGTCTCAGATGACACTTTGGACTTGGACTTTTGGGTTAATGCTGGAATGGTTAAGATTATGGGGGACTGTTGGAAGGGTATCATTGTGTTTTGAAATGTGAGGACATGAAATTTTGGAGGGGCCAGAATCTGAATGATATGATTCAGCTCTGTGTCCCCACCCAAATCTCACCTTGAATTGTAATGCCCATAATCCCCCATGTGTCAAGGGAGGGACCAGGAGGAGGTAACTGAATCATGGGGGCAGTTTCCCCCATGTGTCAAGGGAGGGACCAGGAGGAGGTAACTGAATCATGGGGGCAGTTTCCCCCATGCTGTTCTCATGAGAATGAGTGAGTCTCATGAGATCTGATGATTTTATTAATATAAGGGTCTGGCATTTCCCCTGCTTGCACTCATTCTCTCTCCTGCCACCCTGTGAAGAGATGCCTTCTGCCATGATTGTGAGTTTCCTGAGGCCTCCCTAGCCATGCAGAACTGAGAGTCAACTAAACTTCTTTTCTGTATAAATTACCCAGTCTCGGGTATTTCTTCATAGCAGCATGAGAATGGACTAATACACCTGGTCTAATTTCAAGATTTATTATAAAACTACAGTAATCAAGACAGTGTAGTGTTGATATAAAGACAGACAAATAAATCAATGAGACACAAGAGAGCCCAGAAACAGACCCACACATACATGGGCAACTGAATTTTGACAAAGGTGCTAAGGCAATTCAGTGGAGAAATCAGAGTCTTTTCAACAAATGGTGCTGGAACAATAAGATATTCACATACAAAAAAAAAAAAAAGAACTTTGATCCATACTTTCACCACATACAAATATTAACTCAGAAGAAACCTCAACAATTGTCAGAAAATACAGAATTCAGAATTTCCACAACATATCATTCATAATGTCCATTATGCAATAAAAATTACTAGATATGTATAGTCAAGGGAAAAGCCATTCAATAAAAGCAGACCTATGATGATTCAGACATTACAATGAGCAGATAAGGGCTTTAACTATGTTATAAAATCTATAGAAAATATGGGTATATTGGGTGTAGATGGGAGAATTTCAGGAGAGATATGAAAACTATTAATATAAAAGAAAACCAAATGGAAATCCCAGAATTGAATCCTAATTTTGTTAAACATTACTGAACTTTTAAACATTGAGAAAAAGTATTGAGGAAATAAATGAACAGAGCCTCAATGGCTGGTGGAATTCTATCAAACTGTCTAACATACATGACATTGGAGTCCCCAGATGAGAAGAGAGAGAATATAAGCAGAAAAAAAACACTTGAAATACTGACTGGAAAGTTTTCTAAATTGTATAAAAAACCCCAGTAACTTACAAACTTAGAAGGCCGGGAAACCTCAAACAGCATAAAAGCAAAGAAAACTACACACAGTCACATTATGGTCAGACTGCTGAACACTGAAGATAAGGAGAAAATCTTAAAACCAGTCAGAGTGGGGAGAAACACATTAAGGGAACAACAATAAGATGATAGCTGATTTCTCACTAGGAAAAATGGAGGCCAGAAGAAAATGGAACATCTTTAAAGTAAAAATTAGCTAGGCATGGTGGCATGCACCTGTAGTCCCAGCTATTCTGGAAGCTGAGGTGGGAGGGTTGCTTGAGCCAGAGAGGTCAAGGCTGCAGTCAGCCATGATTGCACCACTGCACTTCAGCCTGGGCAACACAGCAAGACCCCATCTAAAAAAAAAAGTAAACACACACAGACACACACAAATACTGTCTACTTACAATTCTATATCCAGCAAAAACCCTAACATAAAGAAATGATAAATGCATAAGGTTATGGATACCCCAACTGCCCTGATTTGATCATTACACATTGTATGCCTGCACCAAAACATCACATGTACCCCATAAATATACACAACTATTATATATCCATAATAATTAAAATTTAAAAAATTTTAAAAAGTTTAAAAGTGAAGAGGAATAAAAGGGTAGCATGAGGAAGATTTCGTGGTGATGGAGCAGTTCTGTGTCTTTCTTTTCTTTTTTTTTTTTTTTTTTTTTTTTTGAGACAGGCTCTGCAACCTCTGCTTCTCAGGCTCAAGCAATCCTCCCACCTCAGCCTCCACAGTAGCTGGGACTACAGGCGTGCACCACTATCTCCAGCAAAATTTTCATATCTTTTGTAGAGTGGGGTTTCACCACGTTGCCCAGGCTGGTCCCGAACTTCTGGACTTAAGCAATCTGCCTGCCTCGGCCTCCCAAAGTGCTGGGATTACAGGCATGAGCCACTGTTCCCAGCTAGAACAGCTCTGTATCTTGGTTGTGGTTTTGGTTACACAAATCTACACATGTAATAAAATTGAACAGAACTACATATACATAGGCACACAAATGAGTATGTGTAAAGCTGGTGAAGTCTGAGTAAGATCAATTTCAATCTCAGTTTTGAAATTGTACTATATGTATGTAAGATGTTACCATTGGGAGTGGTTCACAGGACCTTTCTATAATATTTTTGAAACTACCTATTAATCTATAATCTTTAAAACAAAAAGTTAAAGAAATGAAATAAAGACACTTGCAGATAAATAAATGCTGAACTTGTTTCCGGGAGACTACAAGACTAAGGGAAACCTCAGGTAGAAGGTAAAAGGGGTAAAGAAGGCATAACTCACTTTTTTTTTAATGTGAGGGCTTTGTAAGACTTCCTGCCCAACAGGACAGTATGGAAAAAGAGAAGAAAAGAGTATGTTTACAGTGGAGAAATCTGACAAACTCTACCTCAGCCAGATGATCAAGGTTACTATCAACAGTAATACAGTGTGTTGACAGGGTACCCTTGAGACAGTGTGATGAAAATGGAACTTCACCTCTGTGATCTTCCCCCTCCCAAAAAATATTCCCATCCTGGTCTAGACCTAAAAAAACCATCAAACAAATCTCACTTGAGGAACATTCTACAAAACACCTGATGAGTACTCCTCAAAACTGCCAAGGTCGTCACAAACAAGAAAAGTCTGAGAAATTGGCTGAACGCGGTGGCTCACACCTGTAATCCCAGCACTTCGGGAGACCGAGGCGGGCAGATCACGAGGTCAGGAGATCGAGACCATCCTGGCTAACAAGGTGAAACCCCGTCTCTACTAACAATACAAAAAAATTAGCCGGGCGTGGTGGTGGGCGCCTGTACCAGCTACTTGGGAGGCTGAGGCAGGAGAATGGTGTGAACTCAGGAGGTGGAGCTTGCAGTGAGCCGAGATCGCACCACTGCACTCCAGCCTGGGTGACAGAGTGAGACTACCTCTCAAAAAAAAGAAAAAGAAAAGTCTGAGAAACTATCAGTCAAGTGGAGCCTGAGGCAGGACCATTAAATGTAAAGGGGTGTTCTGGGTGGGATCCTGGGCAGATAAAGGATATCGGGGAAGAGGGAGAAGATCTGAATAATGTATGAACTTTAGTAAAAAATAACATCAGTATTGGTTAATTAATTATAACGAATGTACCACACTAATGTAAGGTGTTAATAATGGGTGAAACTGGATGCAGGATATATAAGAACTCTGTGTATTAGCTTTGCAATTTTTCTATATATCTAAAAGTGTTCCAAAAAATAAAATTTATTAAAAATAACAAAGAAACTTAAACAACATAGCAAACAGTTGCAATATATGGATCTTATTTGGATCCTGAATTGAACAAACAAATTGTAAAGAAAACTATGAAACCTGGCCAGGCGTGGTGGCTCGCACCTGTAATCCCAGCACTTTGGGAGGCCAAGGTGGGCGGATCACCTGAGGTCAGGAGTTTGAGACCAGGCTGGCAAACATGGCGAAACCTCATCTCTACTAAAAATACAAAAATTAGCTGGGCATGGCGGCAGAAGCCTGTAGTCCCAGCTACTTGGGAGGCTGAGGCACGAGAATCGCTTGAACCCGGGCAGCGGAGGTTGCAGTGAGCCCAGATGGTGCCACTGCACTCCAGCCTGGGTGACAGAGCGAGACTATGTCTCAATAAAAAAAAAGAAAGAAAGAAAAAGAGAACTATGAAATGTTAGGAGAAATTTGGCATGGCAGCTCACGCCTGTAATCTCAGCACTCTGGGAGGCTGAGGTGGGAGGATGGCTTGTGTCCAGGAGTTCAAGACCAGCCTGGGCAACATAGTGAGACCCCCCCATCTCTATTTATATTAAAAATATTATTAAAAGACCGGGAGTGGTGGCTCACGTCTGTAATCCCAGCACTTTGGAAGGCCAAGGAGGGCGGATCACGAGGTCAGGAGACTGAAACCATGCTGGGTAATAATGGTGAAACCCCATCTCTACTAAAAATTCAAAAAATTAGCCGGGCGTGGTGGCATGCACCTGTAGTCCCAGCTACTCAGGAGGCTGAGGCAGGAGAATCGCTTGAACCTGGGAGGCGGAGGTTGCAGTGAGCTGAGATGGCACCACTGCACTCCAGCATGGGCGACAGAGCGAGACTCTATCTCAAAAAATAAATAATAAATAAAATGATAATATTTAAAAAAAAAACATGTTAGAAGAAATGTAAATAGTTTGGATATTTGATGGTATTTAAGGATTCCTTAGCTGGTCTTGGTGGCCCATGCCTGTAATCCCCGAACTTTCAGATGCCGAGCAGGGAGGATTGCTTGAGGTCAGGAATTTGAGACCAGCCTGGGCAACATAGTGAGACCTTGTCTCTACTAAAAATAAAATAAATTTTTCTAAAACAAGAAAAATAAAAGTCCAGTGTGCCATCCATGGTGAAAAAGAAAAAAAAAAGCATTCCTTACCTGGTTTTGTTTTCCATGTAAACATGGATATTATAGTTTTAAAGTCATCTTTAAGAAAATACTGAAATATTTATGAATGAAATGTATAATATTTAGGATTTGCTTCAAAACAATCTATGGCATGGGTATAGTGGCTCACACCTGTAATCCCAGCACTTTGGGAGGCCGAGGTGGGTGGATCACTTCAGGCCAGGAGTTCAAGACCAGCCTGGCCAACATGGTGAAACCCCATCTCTACTAAAAATACAAAAATTAGCTGGGCATGGTGGCATGTGCCTGTAATCCCAGCTACTTGAGAGGCTGAGGCACGAGAATCACTTGAACCTGAAAAGCAGAGGTTGCAGTGAGCCAAGATCACGCCGCTGCCCTCCAGCCTAGGCAGCAGAGCAAGACTCTATCTTCAAAATAAATTAAAAAAAAAATCCATGTGTGGATGGGGGAAGTGGGTAGGATACAGATGAAGAAGAAACAAGATTGTCGACCAGGTGCAGTGCCTCATTCCTGTAATCCTAGCACTTTGGGAGGCCGAGGCGGGTGGATCACTTAAGGTCAGGAGTTCAAGACCAGCCTGGCCAACATGGTGAAACCCCATCTCTACTAAAAATACAAAAATTAGCTGGGCATGGTGGCATGTGCCTGTAATCCCAGCTACTTGAGAGGCTGAGGCACGAGAATCACTTGAACCTGAAAAGCAGAGGTTGCAGTGAGCCAAGATCACGCCGCTGCCCTCCAGCCTAGGCAGCAGAGCAAGACTCTGTCTCCAAAATAAATTTAAAAAAAAATCCATGTGTGGATGGGGGAAGTGGGTAGGATACAGATGAAGAAGAAACAAGATTGTCGACCAGGTGCAGTGCCTCATGCCTGTAATCCTAGCACTTTGGGAGGCCGAGGCGGGTGGATCACTTAAGGCCAGGAGTTCAAGACCAGCCTGGCTAACATAGTGAAACCCCGTCTCTGCTAAAAACACAAAAAATTAGCTAGGTGCAGTGGCACATGCCTGTAATTCCAGCTACCCGAGAGGCTGAGGCAGGAGAATCGCTTGAATCTGGGAGGTGGAGGATGCGGTGAGCCAAGGTCGCACCACTGTACTCCAGCCTGGGTGACAGAGCGAGACTGCATCTCAAAAAAAAAAACCAACCAACCAACCAACCGAACAAACAAAAAAACAGGGTTGTCTGTGATTCAGTAAACACTGAAGCAGGTGATGGGTGCAGCAGCTTATTGCACTGATACAGTTTTGATATGCATTCTTTTTTTTTTTTTTGAGATGGAGTCTCTCTCTGTTGCCCAGGCTGGAGTGCAGTGGCACGATCTTGGCTCACTGCAAGCTCTGCCTCCCGGGTTCCCTCCATTCTCCTGCCTCAGCCTCCCGAGTAGCTGGGACTACAGGTGCCCGCCACCATGCCCGGCTAATTTTTTATATTTTTAGTAGAGATGGGGTTTCACCATGTGAGCCAGGATGGGCTCGATCTCCCAACCTCGTGATCTGCCCGCCTCGGCCTCCCAAAGTGCTGGGATTACAGATGTGAACCACCGCGCCCAGCCTGATATATATATATATATTTTTTTAAAAAAGGTGGTAGTAAAATGTGTATATCATGTCTGTCTTCATGTTTTGGAGGCTTAGTTTGTAAACATCTTGCTATTTGTAAGAGACACTATATCATTAGCAAGTATCTCAAAGTGTAGCTACACTTAGTCATCAGAAATAGTAGATGTGAATTCATATTTTAAATGCTCCTGTCATATTTCACTTTTTTGGTGATTTTCTTGTCAGATATGATTAGACCATCATGTATACCTTTAATGTAGCTGCAAAGAGCTCATACAGGAAGAGGTGGCAGCTCTGCCATTTTTCTTAGTATATGCTTATATTGCATATTTATTCTCATCGTTAATTCATGATTTCTTTGAAGGTAATATTTTAGGCCAATGGCTGTTTGGTGAGGTTTGGTTTAATTTAGCAGAAATTAAGTAATGTATTCTGTAGTTCCTCATAACCAAGCATGTGACAAGCAATATGTTATAAAATTCTCAACACTAAACACTCAAGGCAATGGTGCTAATGCGTCTCTGTTGTGATACATGTACCGGTCATCACATGCCACCATCCACCATACAGACTGAGTGAGAGTGCTGTGGTCAGTCCATGTATTACATATTAGCAAAGCTCAATTTTTTTTTGTTTTTAAAGAAAAATGTTTAAGATAGAAGTTCTATTTTTTTTCCTGCACCACAATAGAAGAAACTCTCTGGAGCCCAATATGCTGAATAAGACAACTCTTCACATAGGCGGATGAACCGATAGTGAATACGTCCCTCAAATGTTAATTATTAGCATATCTCTCAGTGGCTTGCTAACCCCGTGACTAAATCCACATCTAAGACGCATCTGAGGATCACATGTAATCCAAGCTGTGCAGGCACGAGCCATCACCTGTTTTATTGCAAGGAAGGGGCCTCCTGGCCCTTCCTGCGTGTCTCCCAGGTGCCTTTGCATGGGTTCTTAGGAACAGGTCCTACGTGTGTGTTCTGCTCCAACCATTTTGCCTGGCCACTGCTACCAGCAACCTCAGGAGATTGCTGGGCTTGGCAGCCTGCTGCTGGTGAAGGCTCCTACTAGGAACATCCTGGTCTTGGGGATGGGAGAAGCCAACTTCATTCACAGCCCAGCAGAAACCAGATTTGAACTTTTAATGAAACTTTCTTGAAAATTTGAGGACAGTTAATGTGTTAGTTTCCTATAGCTGCCATAACAAAGTGCCGCAAACTGGGTGGCTTAAAACAAGATAAATTTGTTCACAGTTCTGGAAGCCGGAAGCCGGAAATCAGTGTCAGAAGGGCCGTGTTCCCTCTGAAGTCACTAGGAATGGACATTTCCTTGCCTCTTCCAGGTTCAGGTAGCCCCAGGAGTTCCTTAGCTTAAGACGTCACTCCAGTCTCCACCTTGGTCTTCACGTTGACCATCTCTTGCATGTCTGTGTCTCTTCTTATGAAGATACTAGTCATACTGGATTGGCCTACCCTACTCCAATATGATCTCATCTCAACTAATTACATCTGCAATGGCCTATTTCCAAATAAGGTCACATTCTGAAAGGGTAGGACTTCAACATATCTTTTGGCGGGGGACAAATTCAACCTGTAACAATTGAGAACAGTTGAGAACAATTTACAACTACTGTATAACCCCAGACCTGTCCTCAGAGTTCTTTGCTGAGCCAGCCCTCTCTCAAACATGCCCTACCTGCATGGCCTTAGGGCTGGCTTACTCCACATTCCCTCTTCTGGGAGGACTCCATGCAACTCCATACCTCAGAGTTCAGACCAAACTGATCCCGTATGTCAGAGAGGGCAGGATTTACCTTCCTCCCAGTGAAATTCAGGGAATTCACCTTTCCCAGGATGGCTTTCATCCTACAACGCTGCGGACAGGACAGTCAACTCCCCACCAAGGAAACCCCTCTTCCATCCACAAAGGACCTGCCCCTTTGACTCCAATAAGATGACCACATAATAGAATAACCTTTGCATGCATTGTTTGATTTGGAATGACACCAGTGTGAGACATAACAGTTCAGTCTGATTTGGCTTATGCCAAGATCAAGAGGATTCTGG
Source organism: Homo sapiens (assembly GCF_000001405.40). Lineage (NCBI taxonomy): Eukaryota > Metazoa > Chordata > Mammalia > Primates > Hominidae > Homo > Homo sapiens. Next base: position 151,523,300 of record NC_000007.14, on the reverse strand, counting down.
TTCTTCTCCATTCTTCCCTCATCAAATATTTTTAAAAACCAAACCAAACCACAAAACTCCTTAATGTCTACTTTCATTGGGGTCACCCTTTTCCACATAAAAGAATGTCCTTTTGGTAAAAACAATCACAGCAGTGGTTTTTTACTCTGACCTTGGTGTAACCCAGTGGTAGGGGGAAAAGGTTTTGTATGTTATCTCTGGTACTTAAAACAAATATGTTGGAACTAGAAATCAGATACTGGGCTTGGAAGTGCTCATGGAAAGTTAATACAAACCCCATAATATCAGATGTCCAAATTTCAAAGAACTTCCATAACCACCAGCCGTCAGAGGTGTAGGTCAGCAGAGACCCCTCTGGACAATCTACATGCTTAGCATGAGCTCCTCACTCAAGGGATGATGGGAATTAACAGAACCGATGATGTTCTCTCTCTGGGAACTTAACAGAAGACACATAGTTCTTAGTTCGCAGGGAAAGGGAACAGAAGTGGAAGTACACACAGAGAGAAGGCAGCAGGCTGAGGACTCGAGCACTCCCGAACAAGCAGGACCTGCTGAGGAGAAGCTGACTGGTGGCAGCAGACCTTCCAGCTGCTGCAAAGTCAAAGGTGACTGAGTTAGCCACCAATAAGGGAGCTACTTTGAATACAAAAGCAAGTCCATTTCTTCCAACACTGTTGCTGTCTGGTTGCAGTCAGGTATTTCCATGTGAATTCAGACAATGAGTCCCTACTATTTTAGGTAATCTGAGCCATTTCTTTTTTTTTTTTTTTTTTTAAGACAAGGTCTCACTTTGTCACCCAGGCTGAAGTGCAGTGGCACCATCTCAGCTCACTGCGGCCTCGACCTCCTGGGGTCAAGTGATCCTCCCACCTCAGCCCTCCACGTAGCTGGGACTACAGGCAGGTTCCACCACGCCCGGCTTTTTTTTTGTATTTCTTTGTAGAAACAGCTTTTCTCCATGTTCCCCAGGCTGGCTAAGTCACTTTTCAAACCAAACAAATTCTCCCCACTCTAGAATAAAGGAATCTTCTAAACCTTTGGATCCTACATTAAAGGGCTTGAAGACAGCAACTGGAAAACTTTTTTTTTTTTTTTTTTGAGACAGAGTCTCACTGTTTTGCCCAGGCTGGAGTGCAGTGGCGCTATCTGAGTTCACTGCAACCTCGCCTTCCAGTTTCAAGCAATTCTCCTGCCTCAGCCTCCTGAGTAGCTAGGATTACAGGCATGTGCCACCACGCCTGGCTAATTTTTGTATTTTTAGTAAAGACGGGGTTTCACCATGTTGGCCAGGCTGGTCTGGAACTCCTGACCTCGTGATCCGCCTGCCTCGACCTCCCAAAGTGCTGGGATTACAGGTGTGAACCACCGCGCCCAGCCTGGAAAACTTTTTGAATGAATTTGTCCTTTACAACTGTGCTTCACATCTGGATTACCAATATTCTCAGGCTAGGGCAGTGCTTTCAAACTTTTTGAAGCAACCCACTGTAAGAAACTTTACAATGAGGCCGGGCACGGTGGCTCACGCCTGTAATCCCAGCACTTTGGGAGGCCGAGGCGGGCGGGTCATGAGGTCGAGAGGTCGAGACCATCCTGGCCAGTATGGTGAAACCCTATCTCTACTAAAAATACAAAAATTAGCCAGGCGTCGTGGCGGGCGCCTGTGGTCCCAGCTACTCGGGAGGCTGAGGCAGGAGAATGGCGCGAACCCGGAAGGCGGAGCTTGCAGTGAGCCGAGATTGCGCCACTGCACTCCAGCCTGGGCGACAGAGAGAGACTCCGTCTCAAAAAAAAAAAAGAAAGAAACTACAGTAAATCCCAACATGCAATAATACATATATAGCATATCTATAAACATATATATCTACACGTGCACTTACACAAACTTACCCTTACTCATTTTTTTAACTCACCACTGTACTAATGAGGACACATACTTACCCTTACTATGCATAACGCAGTTTTCTATTCTGTTCTATTTTTTTTAAAAAAAGGTAAAACTAAACTGATTTTATAATGCAAGGAATTTAGTAGCATCTGTTCAAAAACACCGTGGTGAGGGTATCCGAATCCACAGGATAAAAACGACACATTTTACAGGAGAGTGCATTTTAAGACCTTTATTTTAAAATACTTAAAATAACTATAGCGTAAACCTCAACATTTCATGGAAACATAGAACTTCCAGACATTGATCACTTCTGGCTGGCTGCCTGGGGCTTCCATCTGTAGATCCCCGAGGACAAGAATGCACACCCCAGCCCCTCATCGGAGTGCTTCCGTGGGAAAGCTGGAGGGAGTCGCTCTTGGGTTGGGTGTTCCAAGTCGACTCCAGTCACCTCTAAACCTTCCTACGCTGGAATACAAGGCCTGCCACTCAGCTTCCCCTGGCTTCATTCCTCCCCACCGATCACTGGCAAAGGGCGAAGGGCCATGCCCGGCCTCTGCAGGTCCCCACTGCCAAACAGCCTGGGCAGAATAGGGGCGGGTTCCCCGGCGCGGCGGAGTCTCTGCTAACTCGGCAAGTGCCAAGCCCTCCAGCAGCCACCACGCCGGGCCTGCCTGCAGGCTGGTCCCTCAACGGCACCTGCGTTCCCGGCCGGGCTTCCCTTCCCGCGCCCCTCTGCACTGCACCCCTGGGAAGGCTGTGCCCACACCACGGTCTCCGCCCGTCCACACCGCGGCCCGAGGCGTTCCTGGCACCCGGCTCGGGCCTGCCCGCCGCACCAGCCGCCCCGGTGCTGGCGGAGAACCGGCTTCCCGCCCCGGCGCTGTTCCAGGAGGTGCGCCGAGCTCCGCGCGAAGCGAAGCGGACACCAGAACTGACGAGGCTCGCCCTGTTTTTAATGAAATTCCTAACACTTTGAATTAACGCAGACTCCATGCTTCCCACAGTCCTTCGGCCGTCGGTGACGCTTAGTCACCACTACATCCTCAAACCCAGACACGAACGCTAACGCAGCTCAAGGAGAATTTTCAAAAAACCCCGAGGGAGGAGCCAGCCCACCCGCCCAGGCCACGCGCCTCGCGCCCTTCACGGGCTCAGCGGGCGCGAACCCGCCAACCGCTTAGCGTTTCGCCAATCACCGCACCTCCCACCTATTGCCCCGCCCTGCGCTCCGTTCTGGCCAATCACCAGGGAGCCACCGTTTGTCTCTCCGCCTCTCCCGCCCGCCCCTAACCGGTTGGAAGTTTGAAGCCTTCAAACCTAGCCGGCGCCCAACAGCGCGGTAGCAGCGAGGTGTATTTTTAGCTCCCGGGCGGGCAGCCCCGCCCCCCCCTCCCCGCCTCCTTGTTTCCCCCAATGGGAGATGGAGTTTCCGACACGTCATCGCGCGGCTGTGCAGGAGCTGTCCAATCGGCGCTCGGGGAGAATGGCGTAATTAAAAAGCGGCGGAAGAAGGTGGGAGGGTCATGACGCAGCGAGTTTCAGTCGTGACTTTTCTGGGGGCATCGCGGCGTCCCCTTTTTTTGCCTTTAAAGTAAAACGTCGCCCCGACGCACCCCCCGCGTATTTCGGGGGGCGGAGGCGGCGGGCCACGGCGCGAAGAGGGGCGGTGCTGACGCCGGCCGGTCACGTGGGCGTGTTGTGGGGGGGAGGGGCGCCGCCGCGCGGTCGGTTCCGGGCGGTTGGGAGCGCGCGAGCTAGCGAGCGAGAGGCAGCCGCGCCCGCCGCCGCCCCTGCTCTGTATGCCGCTCTCTCCCGGCGCGGCCGCCGCCGATCACAGCAGCAGGAGCCACCGCCGCCGCGGTTGATGTGGTTGGGCCGGGGCTGAGGAGGCCGCCAAGATGCCGCAGTCCAAGTCCCGGAAGATCGCGATCCTGGGCTACCGGTCTGTGGGTGAGTGGCCGGTGGCCGCGCGGCCTCCTCGCGCCGCCGGGGCCTCGCCTGGGAGCCGGGTCGCGGCCGGGCCTGCGAAGTTTGGAGCCGGCGCGGCCATGTGGCGGGGCGGGCGGGGGCCGCGCGTTTCGTAACCACCATTCTGAGCGGAGGTGGTGGCGGTCGGGGCGGCGTCCGCGCCGGTGGAGGAGCCGCGGTAGCTGGGCGCCCTCCGCGGGCCGGGCGGGCAGGTGGCGGCCGGGCGGAGGGCGTGGGAGGCGCGGGGCGGGGGCCGTCGGCCGCCGAGGAGTCCGGGTCTCGTCTGGGGAAGTGAGGCGGCGCCGGGGAGCCGCGCTAGAGGCTGCCGCGAGGGAGTCACACCTGCCTCCCCGCCTTCGCCGCGGGCGCGCGTGACCGGGGCTGGCGGTCTCCCCCACCCCGCCCCCGATGTAAGGAAAAGAAAGTCCGTGGGATTTTAACAAAGGAAGCAGCGCCTCGGCTTCATTCCATCTGTGGTGAAGTTTACCCTTGTAAAGAAAACTAGGGATTTAGAGGACGTTTGGGCACTGAACGCAAGTTTTCTGCATAGGAAACCTAGGCGATCCCCCAAAAGAGGTCCCTCTGGAGGCCCTCGAGATGCTGCTGGCGGCCTGGGTAGGAAGACAGAGAAAAAGGAATGTCTGATCTCTCGGTGCCCTATTTTTGTTCGGGAAGGAATAAGGTCAGGTACTTGCAACCAGGCTGTTGAAGTAATTCCAAAGTCTTTTTGTTTTCTTTTTCTTCCCCCAAAAGGTTGACATACATTTGAAACAGTTCCTAGCAGTCGCCTTATTGCTGAATAAGGTGGCTTAGGGTCGGGTTGGGGGGCGGACGGGGTGTTACAGAACGAGCGGTTTTCTGGCCTGTGTGAAACCAGAGCGATTGAACTTAGACACGCTTCAGGGTGAGGCTGTATTGTCTCCCGACATCCGGAAGCCTGGAGAAATTAGTTCATCTTTTCGGGCTGTTTTGAAGTAACTGTCTATAGAAGGCGTGCACCGGGCCACAGTTGAGGGGATGGGGAGGTGAAAGCGAGGGTTCCGAGGCTCCCGTGATTGCGGAACGGGGTGACTATCTGTCATGGGAAGCTTGTACCTGCCTGCCGCTCACTGGATGCACTCCCCAACTGCGCTTTCCACCGCCTGTGCCAGGGTCTGTGCTCTTTGACCAAGATCAGCCACTGCATGCTTACTCATCCTTTTACCACCTCTCCGTCGAGAGCCGGGGGGAAATTAAGGGCTGAAAGAAGCTTGGCTAGAGATGCGGGGTGCCTAGAGTCGTAGGGGAACTCTTGTGCGATGCGGTGCTGAATCCGAGGGGATGCATAGGTGGCAGCTTTAACAGCTGCAGCCAGGAAGTAACCATGAATCAAATGGAGGGGTTCAAAGTCACTAATTGTTCAAATATCAACATGGAACCTGGGATCCAGCCTTTATTGGCAGCCTGAATCCATGCTCTTGTCTCTGTTCTCTTGATTTCCTCCTCTGCATTTTGAGGAGTTGGGACCGCGAGGTGTTCTGGCTCTTGGGTGAGCCTTCCCTAGTCAGTCAAGTAAGTACTTATTGGCAACTATTTGGAAATAGTAGTCCCTGAATAATCACGTTATAGGCAACAAGTACCTCGGCTACCTGATTTCAACCCAAGAGAATGACCTAAAGATCTTGACTGATTTACCCTTTTCAAATGTCGAAATGGTAGCTCTAGTCTTTGGTGAGCAGGGCTAGTTTTATCACTTTTTTTTTTTTTTTTTTGGCTACAGAAGTTCCTTATGTCCAGTTGAAATCCATTCTGTTTTATCTTCCCTCTATTCAGCGTCCTCCTGAGGACGGAGATGTGACAGGCCACCCCTTAGCCTTGTCCTCACAAACTGTTGCTTGTTAAATACTGTGCTAACTTAGTCTCCGGTGGGATACAGGGTCACTTTTAGTCCCTATTTTCTGTCTTCAGTATTTCATATTTCTGCAACCTACCCCACTTCTCCATATTTATTTTCAAGCGTAGTCATATTAAACGATTTTGGAGAGGTTAAGTTGCTCCCAATCTTGTATTTGATTTTTTTTTTTTTTTTTTTCCGAGACGGAGTTTCGCTCTTGTGACCCAGGCTGGAGTGCAATGGCGCGATCTCGGCTCACTGCATCCTCCACGCCCCGGACTCAAGCGATTCTCCTGCCTCAGCCTCCAGAGTAGCTGGCACTACAGGCGTGCACCACTATGCCCGGCTAATTTTGTATTTTTAGTAGAGACGGGTTTCACCACTTGGCCAAACGTCAGGCTTGTCTCAAACGCCTGACCTCAGGTGGTCCTCCCACCTTGGCCTCCCAAAGTGCTGGGATTATAGGCGTGAGCCACCATGCCCAGCCGCATTTGATTTTAAAGTGTATTATGAGCCAGGATATTTTGTAGTATGTGGGGTCTTTTTTAGGGGAAGGAGATTAGGTTTTGCCAGCAGGTTTCTTCTAGTAAGCCACCCTTTTGAGAATTACTCAGCATGCTCACTTCTGGGAGCTTACTGGCATGTTTGCTTGCAAATGGTGGTGCTGTACCAGAGAAATTTGAGTACCTGTGTTTCTAGATTGTGGTATTTTGTGATGCTGAGCTGTTTGTCCTATATTCTGGGGGTAGAGCCACATAAAAAGCCTCCACACCTTTCTTAGAATGTTCTCTTGATTAAATACATTAAGCCAGTTTGACTAGTAGGATACTTGTCATTGTGATTTGTCATGCCACAAACTTTATTTTTAAAGTTGTCTTCAGATAAAACAAAAAAGTGCTATGTTTGTTTAACTAGTTGGCTTTCTTTTTTTTTTTTTTTTTTTTTTGTGACAGAGTCTCACTCTATCACCCAGGCTGGAGTGCAGTGGCGGGATCTGGGCTCACTGCAACCTCTGCTGCCCAGGTTCAACCGATTCTCCTGCCTCAGCCTCCCAAGTAGCTGGGATAACAGGCGCCTGCCACCCCGCCCAGCTAATTTTTGTATTTTTAGTAGAGACTGGGTTTCACCATCTTGGCCAGGATGGTCTTGAACTCCTGACCTCGTGATCCACCTGCCTCGGCCTCCCTAAGTGCTGGGATTACAGGCATGAGTCACTGCACCCAGCCCACTACTTGGCTTTCCGTTTTCTTTTTTTCTTTTTTTTTGAGTGTTGTCAGAACTACCAATAGGTAAAATATAATTCTCAGGTAGTCTATACAATTCTCCCTGCCAGTCCCCTGTACTTTTCCTGGTATTTACAATGTTAAAGCTTTTAAGGACACGTCACCTATAACTCTGGGAGTCTGGCTTTCAGGGAGTGCTTTGTATTAACTGTTGCCGTGATGGCCAAAAGTACCAGCTCCCTGACATTCCGTTATTTCTACCACAACGGAGTAGTCCCGCGATAGGAAGTAACTCAACTTAAAATGGTAGTGTTACGTAAACTGTCTTCAGCCTGGTACATCTTTCACTGGGATTTTACCTGTACAGAGAGCTTTGGTAACCTAGTTTACCATTAGACCATAATTAAAAGCTGGTTGTCATATATAAGCCTCTTACATACAGTTAATAAGAGGGATGGGATCACAGGCATGTGAAAGATCATAGGGGGAAAATGAAACAGCTTTGTGGTTTGGAAGAAGGCAATTCAGCAAAAGTACTCAAATTATTACTTTGTCAAAATGTTTAGGTAGTATTTAGAGTCTTCATGAGGAAAGATGTCATTAAATATTTGGTTGTTCCCAGCAGATTCTGACTTACTGTTTATTTTTTAAGTTAACCTATCATTTGTTGACACTTTTTATTGAAAAATTGAAAGGCAAAACAATATTTGCTATGTATGACATCTACCAGTATGTGAAATTGTATATTCAGGTGCTTAATATTCTGATGTTGTATACTTGTGGGTGGGGGTAGTCCTGAAGTGCCCACTTTGTATTGAAACTTGAAATTACTGTTTTTCAGTCTCATTCATTGTTCTGCACAAGAGCATAATCAGAATTCAGATTTCTGATTATGGCTTTCCAGTGCCAAATGTTATTTTGCTGTCCATATGGGTTATATCTCTCTGTACTTCATCACCCCAAAAAGAAACTCTGTACTCATTAGCAGTCACTCTCCATCCTGCTTCCCTGTCAGCCCCTGGCAACCACTAATCTTTCTGTTTCTATGAATTTACTTACTCTGGACATTTCATATAAATAAGAACATACATATGTGGTCTTCTGGGGCTGGCGTCTTTTACTTAGTATAATGTTTTCAAGGTTCGTTCATGTTGTAGCATATGTCGCTTCTTCCTGTTTAGTGCTGACTAATATTCTGTCATGTGAGTATACCACATTTTTTCTATGCATTTGTCAATTGGATATGTGGGTGGTTTCTTTTCTTTCTTTTTTTTTTTGGCTATTATTTTTTATTTATTTACTTTTCTGAGGCAGGGTCTTGCTCTGTTGCCCAGGCTGGAGTGCAGTGGAGCTATCATGGCTCACTGCAGTGTCAACCTCCTGGACTCAAGTGATCCTCCTGCCTCAGCTTCCCGAGTAGCTAGGACTGCAGGTGTGCGCCATCACACCCAGCTAGTTTTTTTATTTTTTTGTAGAGGTGGGAACCTTGCTTTGTTGCCCAAGCTGGTCTTGAACTCTTGACCTCAAGCAATCCTCTGGTCTCAGTCTCCCAGTGTTGGGATTACAGGTGTGAGACACCACTTGGAGCTCTACTTTCTGGCTACTATGAATAATAATGTTTTGAACATTCCTGTACAAGCTTTTATGTAGACATGTTTTCATTTCTCTTGGGTACATTCCTAGGAGTGGAATTGCTGGGTCATTATGGTTAACTCTGTGCTTAATATTTTGAAGAACTGTCAGATTTTTTCCAGAACAGCTGCACAATTTTATATTCCCATCAGCAATGTATGAGGGTTTAATTTTCTCCACATTCTCGTCAACAATTGTTACACTGCCTTTTTCATTTTAGCCATCCTATTGGGTGTGAAGTGGTATCATAGGATTTGCAAATAATTTCTCCTGTCTGTGGGTTGTCCTTTTACCTTCTCGATGGTGTCCTTCAAAGCAGAAAGTTTTTAATTTGAAGGCCGATATATCTATTTTTCTCCTGCCACTTATGCTTTTGGTGTCACATCTTAGAAGCCATTGCCTAATCCAAGGTCATATAGATTTACTACTATATTTTCTTCTAGATATTTTATCCTGTTAACTCTTACATTAGATCTGTGATCTATTTGTGGTTAATATTTGTATATGATGTGAGGGAGGGATAGAACTTTATACTTTTGCATGTGGATATCAAGTTGCCCTAGCTTCTTTTGTTAAAATAATGTTCTTTCTTCATTGAATTCCCTTGTCCGAGATGAAGTGACCGTCAATAGAAGAACTCACTCATTCCATTGATCTGTATGTCTGTCCTGCCAGTACCATACGATCTTGATTACTGTAGTTTTGTAGCTGGTTTTTAAATAGGGGCATATGAGTCCTCTAACTTTATTATTTCTGAAGATGTTTTTGGGTATTCTCAGTCCCTTGCATTTCCATATTGAATTTTAGGACTAGATTGCCAGTTTCTGCCAAAAAAGCAACTGCAATTTTGATAAGGTGTTTCACGGTTTTGCAGGTATCTTTTAATGTCTTAACAGCTGGATTCTCATCTCTGCTCCTGAATTCATTCCCTTAACGTTATTTTAATGAAGTAAGGAGTACTTGAATAGTTTTTCAGGTAGTTGAATATTCTTTGATACCGAAACTTCATAAGTGATAGTTTGCAAAGAATAGTTACACTATGCAATCTGAAATCATATTGATGAATTTGCCCAACTCCGCAGGTCTGCTTTATACTTGGAATGGATCTTCTACCATGCCTGGTTTTGTAGCGTTACTGGTCATTTGGAAAATATTTGTTCATCGTTACGCAGATCTTCCACATGTTGACACATTTTATTATACAAGCATTTTTAAAAATCACATTTGTTAATATCACCACCAATCTCTGCAAAGTCTTAAGTTTTAGAACACTGTTCGCTATGAGTGGTGCAAGTTTTCCAAAATTCTAATTTCCTCCTTGAGTTCAAATAATTTCCTTGGCAACATGCTACCAGTTTTTACTTGAATTGACTGTTTTGTTTCTTTAATTTCCAAGAAAATGTCTGCCAGCTATTCACATTTGCAATAATGATAGTTTGTCATCATTCTTGCAAGTAAAAAAGGCATTCCATGATAAAAGTGGCCAGTTCAGATCACTTCTCAAATGACTGCACAAGTGCTTTTTTTGGAAACAACCATCATACTTCAGTATGTAACAGAGGTGCTTTATGTGTACATCTCATTTTGTCGTGCAGAATATTAAAAAGACAGGTACCAAAGGGTCAAGATTTAATATAATTTTACTGCTTTTTCAAGGACACTGTTAAGTAGAAACAGCTCTTTTCCCACTGTGAATGCATGGTAGTAAAGAATACAGTGACTTACCACTCAGTTTGTAACTACTGTTTTTGATTCATGCCAAGGGGTGCCGAGCTAGCAGTTTTCCCTACCATTGCTTTTGCACCCTTAGTACAAATGGGAACTTTGTGGAAAAGGCAAATGATAACTTAATATTGCTATGAATATCGTTTTGACCTCATGAGACCCCTGAAAAGATTTTGGTAAACCCCTTAGAGGTCCACAGACCACCCTTTGAGAACCATTAAACTGTTGTAAGCTAGGATCTTGTTCACTGCTGTGCAAAATCGAATTGACAGTGACTGCATCCTAAATGCTGTTCACAGCGATATGGTTCCCACAGTGTTAGAAGAGCCTCCTAGGAGAGGCCCTGTAGCGTTGTGAGAGACAAAGATGGCAAGGCAGGAAAGAACTTGGCGTGGTTAGAATGGAAGGAAGCACGAGGGAGGCCAGAGAACATCAGGAGAGTTATGATATCTGTGTGCCTATTGGTTTGGCCTCTGATTGTGTTGCATTTTTGGATGAGTTGTGTTTGGACCTGGTGATGGCGAGGCTCCCAGAGAGTAGTGAAAATTGCAAAGAGTAGCAGGATACCAGAGACCCATATACTAATAATATAGTTTTTAAATACGAGTATCAGGATGAAGGTGGGGAGGAGTACACAAGTAAAAATAGCAACTTTATCACAGAATGAGACACTGCCACCTCTACCTGTGATTGTGGAAGGTCAGAGATGCACAATGCTTTTCTTGGGTGAAGATTCAGAATAACAAGTTCGCAAACAACTGTAATAGTGTCCATGGCTGGATTGTTCTTAGTTACTTGAATAAATCAGAACTGAACTTGCACATGATTGTGCAAGTGAGAGTATTATGAAATCTTTAGGGATCATACTTGAAGGAACCTTCATTCTTAGTTCTAATTTATTCTGAAGTACCAAATGAAATCTTAACATTGATACAGTACTCACGGTCTATCTTCGTCACGTCATTCTTGCTAACTGTGAGAATGCAAACTGCTGAGTCCTTTTAACATGAATTGCTGGATTGATTTTTAAATATAATCAGCTGTGCGCAGTGGCTCTCGCCTATAATTCCAGCACTTTGGGAGGCCAAGGCGAGTGGATCACCTGAGGTCAGGAGTTCGAGACCAGCCTGGCCAACCTGGCGAAACCCTGTCTCTACTAAAAATACAAAAATTAGCTGGGCGTGGTGGTGGGCGCCTGTAATCCCAGCTACTAGGGAGGCTGAGGCCTGCAGGAGAATCACTTGAACCCGAAGGGGGAGGTTGCAGTGAGTCGAGATCGCGCCACTGGGCGACAGAGCAAGACTCCATCTCAAAAAAAAAAAAAGAAATCTAACATTTTAAAGGTTCTGGAATACTATTTTAGTATTTTAATTTTCTTCAATATATGTTGGGCTTCTGGTTATTAAAAAAAAAAAAGGAGTTCCTGTAGGATTGGAGCTTTAAATCTAAACTGGTATTAGTTTAGAACAGGAAGTGCTAGAAAAGCCTTTACGTTGTGCTCTTATGGGCAAGTTAAGAAAGCAGGGCAGTTTAAAGATAGTGATAGAATTCACTCCGAAGTGTCATGCTTGCTTGGTTTGCGTCTTATCTGTAGTAGAATTGAGTCTTTCTCTCCCGCATTTCTCTTTTTGTTGTGCTTACATGTTTGCAGAAGGACTCCTCATGGACATTTGAAAGAGAAGTTGGTGTTTTAGCAAGATACACCATCCCACCTTTTGCAGGATTGAGAGTTGAATGTTAATAACTACCTGATGGCATAGTACATAATTTGTGAATGGGGATGCAAATATGGGCTTTTACAGTTAATACAGTTTTATGAGATGAAATGCTTTTCTAAGACTTCTGTGTCTTAGATATAAATGTGTCTGCCTATTTTGCTAGCTTTATTTTTTTTTTTATTTTTTATTTTTTGAGACGGAGTCTCACTGTGTCATCCAGGCTGCAGTGCAATGTCGCGATCTCGGCACACTGCAGCTTCAACCTTCCAGCCTCAAGGATCCTCCCGCCTCAGCCTCCCGAGCAGCTGGGACTATGGGTGTGTGCCACCATGCCCTGGCTATTTTTTTATTTTTTTGTAGACATGAGGTCTTACTTGTTGCCTCGACTGGTCTCGAAGTCCTGGACTCAAGCGATCCAGCCACCTCAGCCTCCCAGAGTTCTGGGATCACAGGCTGAGCCACTGCACCTGTATTTTGCTGGCTTTAAAATCTCAATCACATTTGGCATTTGTTTGAAAGAGAACATTTGGGCCAGGCCCCCAAAGATTGAATCACTGCAACTGTTGGTTGAAGAGGACAGTTTGTGAGTGTTATGTGTTATTCAAATTAGGTGTTCATTAAGCATTTGAATAAATGCTCTACTTTGTACCAGTCACAAAAGCTAGGACAGTTATAATCCTTGCCCTCAAGGAGCTTCAGTCTAGTTGAGAGCCACAGGAACTTGTTCCTGCTACTGAGAATAATAATTGTTGGTGCTTTTGAAGCATTTACTGTTATGGGGTACAATCTTAATGCACATGTATTAATAGCCTTTAAACTCGGGTAGGTGCAGTTGTTACACCTATTTTGCAGATAAGGAAACTGAAGTACAAAAAGTTTATGTGACTTGCCCAATGTCAAACTGTTGTTAAGTGACAAAGCCAGGATTTTGAACTCAGGCAGTGGCTCCAGAGCAGGCAGTCTTTAATCAGCTACTACACGATTGTTACTTAAATACAGTTGGGATAGGTGTTTGAGAGAAATAATCAAAGGCAGGGCTAACTTGATCATCAAGTGGGGATGGGGGTGGTGGGAGAATTGTCTTTAAAGGAAAGGCAGTGTGGCTCACTGAGTGAATGAGAAGGGTGAGGTGTGAGTAATGAGAGAGGTCGGGACTCATGTGTTTGCCAACTGTCCTTCAAGAACAGTTTTGTCTGCTCTGTGAAAAGTTTTAGACTTTTTCCTAGAAACTGTGGGAAGTGACTGAAGGGTTTTAAGCAACAAATAAGACGATGATCTATACCAGGGACTGGCAGACTTGTTCTGTAAAAGGCCAGATAGTAAATATCTCAAGCTTTGCAGGGCAGGCCATGTAGCCTCTCTTGCAGCTATTCTACTTTGCCTTTGTAGGACGGAAGCAGCCACAGACAATACATCAACGAGTGGGTGTGGCTGTGTGCTAGTAAAACTTTATTTATGGATATAACACTTGAACTTCATCTGATTTTCAGTATCATGAAATACTGTTTCTTTTTCCAACCACTTAAAGATGAAAAAAACATTTTTAGCTCATAGACTGTACAAAACCAAAACAGGCTGTAGGCCAAATTTGGCCCCTGGTCTGTAGTGTGCTGATCCTGGCTTCCATCCTCCTGCTGTTCTGTGAAGTGGGAGGGGTGGTAAGGGAGTAGAAATGGGAAGACCAGCCAAGGCGCAGAGTAGATGAGATGAAGAGGACGCACATGGGAGATTTCCTTAGAGGGAGAATGGGCAAGACCAATGTGGAAGCTGTGAAGTAGCCTTCAGATTTCTCATGTGAGTGCCTGAGTAGGTCATGTTGCCATTGGCTAAAATCAGAAATGATGGAACAGGAGCAAGTTTAAGGGGTGGACCAGATTTATTTATGCACCTGCCAGATCCACACACTTTCCTTGCTTTCTGGCCACAGAGGCCCTAGCGACCACCCACACAGGGCACAGTTCCCATGGTCCCGAAGACAGGTGGCTGTGCCTACAAGTAGGGTTCTGAGGGTTTGCTGGCCCTGGGTCCTTGTGTCACCCAAGGATTTGACCAAGCATACCCTCACACCGCAGGATTGTTGCCCCAGAGACAAATGAGGTTGCTGGGCCCGGGTGGCCCCACACGCTCACGTTGCCCACTCAGGCAGGCAGTGTCTTACTACAAGGATGTTTGTCATTCCTGCTTGCTGGGAGGGGGAGTTGGACTCTTTCTCTAGATCTTTTCATTCTGCATAAGAGTGCTACAAAAATGTGTGAATATGTTTTATAATAATAAATTGCTTTCTTAATCTAACCATGTTTCTGTATGAGCAGTGTCCTAAAAAATTGAGCTGTACACAAAATGAGCCTACCTTCCAATTTTTTTAGACTTCTATGGAAGTATTTCTGGAGCACAAATTTAGGGAGCTAAATTTATACAAATAATATGATCCTATTCCCTTAAACAAGGGTACAGAGCAGCCTTGCCCAATGGAAACAATCTGGCCTGGTGCAGTGGCTCACGCCTAGAATCCCAGCACTTTGGGACCCAAGGTGAGAGGACCACTTGAGCTCAGGAGCTCCAGAACAACCTGGGCAACACAGCGAAACCCTGTCTCTACAAAAGTGGGAGGCTGAGGTCTCAAAAAAAAAAAAAAACTAAAAATATAACCTAATGTAATTTTAGATTTTTCCAGTAGGCATATTAAGTAAAAAGAAATAAGTGAAATTAATATACTTAATTTAGCTCAGTATGTCCAAAATGTTATTTCAACATGTGATGGATATTGTTGATATTTGTACATTTGTCATACTTACACTGTGACACATCTCAGTCGGAACTGAGCACATTTCAGGTACTTACTGTCCATGTATGGCTACTGGCTGCCATATTAGACAGCCCAGATACTGTGAGGAGTGAATTGGTGTTGATAATGAGGTCAGCGCAGATTTTAAGAACTTTTGAAGAAATTATCTTTATAAAATATGAATGGTTTTAACCATTCAGGCTGACGGATGAGTATACTCTATTTCATATCTCATTTTCCTCATACTGTGTTATTACTAGTTTTGATCATTCTTAAATTTCATGTTCTTTAATATGTTAAGAAATAGAGAATTTTTGTCTTTGCTTTTCTCTAGCTCTTTCCCACCCTCACCTGTATCCCAGGTCTTCTCTCCAGATTGGCCACCGTTCTAGGAAAACTCATTCTTCATTGTTGCTAAACATTTAATTTCCTGCAGTTTATCAGGGCTATTATTGTTGCCTTCCACCTCAGCTTTGTCTTTAAACCATCCTGTAGAGATGAATATCCTGTTTTGAAAATCTCCAGGGAAACAGTTTTATGGCCTTTCTGGGTAGCACTTTATTTTTCTTTAGTTTAATAATCCTGTTAATAAAATTCTTCATTTATGAAACTGAGTCCTTCATGTTATATAATTAAACGTATTTCTTATTTTCCTCAGTGGTATATATCTGGTAGCATAATAATTGGCAATAGGGTTACCTATAAGTATTTGAAAGGGTATTTTTATGAACTAGTTTTACTTTTTCTGCCTTGTCTTTGTCATAATAATAATAATTGCAGTTTAATTTTTTCTTTTTTTTAAAATCTCCCAGCATCTATTTTTAAAATTGGGGAAGGGGTGTGAGAAAGAACAACATGATGTCAACCCTGCTTAGCTCACAGGAACAAGCGAGATAATTCATGTGAGAATGTTCCGTAAACTCTAACGGTGTCTCACTTTTTAGGTTCTGTACAATAATTAAGATGTGTATGTTCTGCATCACACACTCTCATCTGACTCTATATGACGGACATGTGGGGATTGGTATTCCAATTAGAATCGTAAACATCTTTTCAAAACACTTCCTTAGTGACACTATATATATGTGTGTGTGTAATATACATAGACACACACAATACAACACATATCACCCCTCCCTCTCGAAAAAGCAACAACCACCAATCCTGCCATAGGGGGAGCTACACATTTCTTACTAGAGTGGGTGCATACGATTGTTAAGCATATGATTGGCATTGTGTGTCATGTAAGGAACACATAGAAACCTTTATGCGGTTCATTGTTTTTCCAGCCTTTTAACAGTGGTGATTCAGGTTTCATTCCATTTATAAGCCAGGTGAGTCTGCAGTCTTTTTTCTGCCGTTTACAAACCAAGTCTGCTTTACTGGTGTCTGTTCTATTGTTAGTCCCCAACGAGGCACTCTCCTGGTATTCCTGTGCTTGCCCTGTGACTGTCTTGAGCCTGCAGAATGCAGCAGAGATGGTGATGTGCCAGTTCCAGGCTTTAAGCCCTAAGAAGTTGGCAGCTTCTGCTTTTGTGTTCTTGGGAGCCTCAAGTGATGTGCAGTAGATGTTAGGAGGAGACACAGAGAAAGGGAGAATGCCCCGCCTTCCCAGCTGTGTAGCACCACCAGCCCACCAGATAAAGGCCCCCCAAAGAGTAAACTAAAAGTGAGCCCAGCGTTGACTGTAGAACCATGAGCACATGAAATGGGTGGTGTCAGTCACTCAGCTGTGGGTAAATGAAACAGTAATTTTCTGCTTTAGGGGTATATGTATGTTTGTTATTTTGCTTGTGTTATTTTGAGGCTTTAGTTGAAATAGTTACTGTATGTCATCTTTCAGGTTAATTTATTAGATATAATTCCGAAAATACTTTTTTTATCCTAAGCGGATTATTTCTGCCTAAGAGCAGTTACTAATAGTATTACTAATATTAATAATAATGAGATTTGCTGAGCACTTGCTACATGCCAGATGTTTGGTATACATTTTCATTTAATCCTCACAAAGCACGTTATAGGATAGGTACCATTATGATGTCCATTTACAGATAAGGAAAAGGACTCAGGAAAACTGCCCAAAGTCACATAGCTAATAACCACCATCTCATACTGTTTAGTAAAAAGTAGTAAATGGGCTGGGCATGGTGACACACACCTGTAATCCCAGTGCTTTGAGAGACCAAGGTGAGAGGATCATTTGAGACCAGCAGTTTGAATACAGTGAGCTATGATCCTGCCATTGTACTCCAGCCTGGGCAACAGATAGAGACCCTGTCTCAAAAAAAAAAAAAAAAGTAAATGCATTATCTTTTAAAAAAAATCTTTTTTTCCTAAATCAAGTTTATTGAGGTGTAATTTACATATAATAAAGTATCCATTTTAAGTGTAGAGTTGGATGAGTTTTGACAGATTTATGCACCTATGTAACCTCTGCCTTTATCAAAATATGAAACATTCCGTCATCCCCACAAGTTCTCTCATGTCCCTCACGCCCTACCCCAGCTCCCCGGGAAGCACTGATCTGCTCTCCATCACTCTGGGTTAGTTTTTCTTACCCTAAAATTTCACATACATCGAATCATACAATATATACTCATTTTTGTATGTCAGTTAGCATAATGTTTTTGAGATTCATCCATGGTGTTGCATGTATAATTTCTTTTTATTGCAAAGTGGTATTCTGTTGAATGGATATACCTTAATTTGTTTATCTGATCACCCATTGGTGGATATTTGGGTTATCCCAGTATTTAACTATTAAGAATAAAGCTATTATGAGCATTTTGAGTAAATGTCTTCGTGGACACACAGTCATTTCTCTTTGGTAAATACCTAGGTGTGATATTGCTGAGTCACATATATGTTAAGTGTATACTTTAGGAGAAACTACCAAACTGTTTTTCCAAAACATTTTGACCATTTTATGCCTCCACTAGCAGCACATGAGAGCTTTGGTTGCTGCCTGCCCATCCTCCCTGATACTTGGTATTGGCGGCCTTTCTAACTTTCTAGCTATTCTCAGATGGTAGGTTGTGGTTTTATTTGAAATTTCCCACTAAGAATGGTGGACATCTTTTCATATACCTACTGGAAATTTGGATATCTTGGTTTGTGAAGTGTCTGTTCAAGTCTTTTGCCTAGATTATCAGATTCTTCTTACTGAATTATATATTCTGAATAAAAGTCCTTTTTCAGATGTGTATTTAATGAATATTTTCTCCTAGTGTGACTTTTTTGTTGTTCCTGTGTTTCAGAGAACAGAAGAAGTTTGTAAGTTTGATGAAACTCGGTTCACTTTTTCGTTTTTTTTTTTGTTTTGTTTATTTTGTATCGTGTCAGGAATCTGTCTACCTGAAGATCATAAAGTTGTTTTTTTTTTTGTTTTCACTTTTAAGCTCTGTTGGACTTGAGAAAGTTTTGTTTTTTGGGTTTTTTTTTTCATATTCTAGAAGTTTTGTAGTTTTAGCTTTTATGTTTAGGTCTCTGATCCATTTCTAGTTAGTTTTTATGTATGAGGTAAGGGTGAAGATTTTTTAAAAAACTTGAGGTCCCACACCTGTAAAAAGAAAGGAAAAATAACATTTAAAACTTTGAGAAAATTTCTTTTTTTTTTTTGAGGTAGCATTCAACAGGTTTTGGCAAGTCTGCAGTCATCTACATCCAGAATCAGGCTGTAGAACAATCCATCAACCCAAAAAGCGCCCTGTGCCTGTTTCTAGTTAGCCCCCTACCCCTTTGTGGTTTTTATCCTATAGTTTTGTCTTTATCAGGATGCCCAATAAATGGAACCATATATTATGCAGCTTTTTGCGTCTGGCTACTTAGCACAACACATTTGAGATTTATTCATGTGTACATATACCAGTATTTAATTCCTTTGTATTGCTTAATAGGACAGTTGACCCTTAATCAACACAGTTGGAACTGTGTGGGCCCACTTATAGGCAGGAATTTTTTTTTCCTCAACCAAATGCAAATGGAAAATACAGTATTCCTTGGATGCAAAGCCCACATGTATGGAGGGCCGACTTTTCATATATGCAGATTCTGCAGGGTGAAAAGCAGGGCTTCATCACACTCGGATTTTGCTATCCTCAAGCATCCTGGAACCAGTCCCCCTTGTATACCAAGGGATGCCTGTATCCCTTTGGGTGGATTTTTTCCCCCCACTTAAATTGCATGTTTTATTTCCCCCAATCCCAGCAATAGCACAGAAGCCCCATCATATCCAACCCAAACTGGTTTCGAGTAGGTTAAGGTTATAGGGACACTTGTCAGAACGTTGATACAAAGGGCTCCCAAACGCTGGGCACAAATGTGTCAGCAAACAGATGGAAGTAAACAGTGCACTGGCCCAAATGCTTCATGAGTCAGTTTGATTTTGCAATGCAGTTTGCATCCTTGAAACTGCCAGTCTGGAGGGAGACAGGGTAGCTTGAGGGAGTGAAGTTGAAATTGCCTCCTATTAGCTCACCCTTTCAACATTAAACAGACCAAGAGAGAAATGGTTCCAACATTTCACCACATCTATTTCTTATGCAGTCTAAGCTGGGAATGCCATGTAAATGGATCACTGCGAAATGCAGCAATTTAATTTTTCTCCAATCAAAATAAGAAAAAAACCAGTATGATCTCACTTCTATTAACTTTTGAAGGTTTACAGCAGTTAAAATATTTTTACTTCTGTATATGAAGGCTTAAAAAAATTTTTTTTTTTTTCATAAAATACAAGAGCAACGAATTTCACCATCGAGTAAAAGTAAAAACTGGGATTCTTGTTTAAATTAGTCCAAAGTGGCATTTAGGAACTTAGTTGTAGGCTGCTGCGCTGACACCATGACAAAACAAAGTGTGGGGTTGGGTCTGGTTTTGTTTCAGTTATCTTTTCAATAACCAGTACTCATGGATAAAGTTCTGGAAGTGTTTCAGTTGTAAGGCAGGGATCTGTTAGAATTCCACCATGGGTATGCTTCTTGGGTTGGATGCTGGAGGGTGAGGCACGTTTTGCCAGACTCATGTCTAGTCATCAAGGTCAAAAAATTCATTGTCTCCTCCTTGGTATTCCATTCCCTGGAAATCTACTCGGTACTGCAGGATACCTCCAATTCCACCAAATCCTTTCACAAACCGAGACCCGTCTTGCATTTTATCTGTGATCATTTCCAACATAGCTCCAAATTTTTTATAGTTGTTAGCAAACCATTCCAACAGGGGCATGCTCTCGATAAGCTCATGTTCCTGTCCGGTCTCTTTGTCTGTGAAATGAGATTTATCCTTTTCTTGCTTTGGAGTTAGAGAATTTTCTCCTTTTCTGTGCCTTGGCAATAAAGAACATATCTCATTATATCCAGATTTTCATAGACCATTAGAATTTCTACAGCTCCCTTTTCCAAAGTCTTTAGTGTATCTTCAACGCCAAAACAGTACTTTCGCGTGTCCTGGGTGATTTCATCAAAGTATCGTTCTATTGATTTCTTTTCTTGAATGAATTTCACTTCGGAGAGGACTTCAGTAGATAACTCAGTAGCTTGATTGAATCCATTTTCACCACCATAGGATATATCAACTAATTTTAAAACTTTCGATTGTAACCTCTGATCAAACATATCAGATTGACTTAGTTCAAAGTCAGCAGATCCAGCTAAAACTAGACCAGCCACATTCACTTTGTCCCCAGAAATAGCTGCACAGCAGTCTCTGCTACTTTCTGAACATAGTTATGTCGCTTTTCCATTTTTAAACGGGCAAAACGCCTCTACTGTGTTTCTTTGGGAGATCCACAGTGAATTTGTGCAGGACTTCTCTTGTGTTTCCTTGGAGTGTGCCAAAAAGTGCACCACTACCATCTATTACAATGAATCCAAACTTGCTGTCATCTGAAAGTAGTGCTGTAAGAGCCCCTTTATGGAATTTGTTGTCACACAATACAATGACGTATTAATTGGTTTGAAAGATTCAAAGTCAACGTTGACTTTCTTTTCCTTTCCTTCTTCTGTTACAGTTGTTCCACAGTAAACAACCAGACCATCTGGAGGTACTTTGTTATAAAGTTTGAGCCTTTGTTGTATAGATGTAATGGCTCCCAGGACTGGATGGCGGTTTACTCCTGCCTTAATGTTAGATGCAGTTCCAAACTCATCTGATAACATTTTTGCCACTGGTGAAATCTGGTCTTTGGGAGGAATGATCAGTGATATCATGCTAGTGCCATTGCTGCAGGCTGCCTCCAAGCTCCTTTTTTTTTTTTTTTTTTTGAGACAGCTCTGTCGCCCAGGCTGGAGTACAGTGGCGTGATCTTGCCTCACTGCCACATAAGCCTCCCGGGTTCACAAGATTCTTCTGCCTCAGCCTCCCAAGTAGCTGGGACTACAGGCATGTGCCACCACACCCAGCTAATTTTTGTATTTTTAGTAGAGACAGGGTTTCACCATATTGGCCAGGCAGGTCTTGAACTCCTGACCTCAGGTGATCTGCCCGCCTCGGCCTCAAAGTGCTGGGATTACAGGCGTGAGCCACGGCGCCCAGCCCGCCTCCAAGCTCTTAATGAGCTTCTTGATCTTCCAGAACTCCACGTTCCTGTCCACAGCACTGGGGTCGTCCACCATCTTCTTGCCTCCTCTTCCCTAAGGGCCCAGTTCTGGGCAGCAGCGGCTGGTAGGACACCGGCTCTTTCTGACCAGGCAACTGCATGTGTTGCAGTGCGCTCACATGGGGCCCGTGATGTCACTTCCTCCGCCAGGGGCGGAGCACAAGGCTGCGGGATGGGTTTAACATAATTTAGGACATTTGGTTTGTTTCCACTTTGGGGCAATTATGAGTAAAACCAGTATAAACATGCAAATACAGGTTTTTGTGTTGACCATAAATTTTCGTTTGTCTTCCATAAATACTTAGGAATGAGATTGCTGGGTCATATGGTAAGTGTAGGTTAAGCTTTTCAGAAGCTGCTGAACTTGCCAAATTGACTGCACCATTTTGCATTCCCACAGGCAATGGGTGAGTGTATAGGTTGCTCCACGTCCTAGCAAGCACTGGGATGGCCAATATTTTTTATTTTAGCCATTTTAATTAGGTGTGTAGCATCTCATTGTAATTTTTAATTTACATTTCCCTAATGGATAATGATGTTAAAAGCATCTTTAATGTGCTTTGCCATTTGAATATTTTCTTTGTTAAAGTGTTCAGATCTTTTGCTCACTTTCTTAATTGGATTGTTTCTTGTTGTTGAGTTATGAGAGTGAAACATATTCTGGATATGGGTCCTTTGCACATATTTTCTCCCAGTCTGTGGCCTGTCTTTTCATTCCCTTAACAAGGCTCTTAGTACAGTTTTTAATTTTGATGAAGTCCAAGATGTTATTTTTTTCTTTTATGGATTGTACTTTGGATTTTATACCTCAGAATCTTCACCCAACTCCAGGTTGCAAAGATTTTTTTCCAATGCTTCTTCTAGAAGTTTGATAGTTTTTACATTTAGGTCTATGATTTTTTTGATTTTGGAGACAGCGTCTTGTTCCGTCACCCAGGCTGGTATGCAGTGGCAGAATCACAGCTTGCTGCAGCCTCAACCTCCCAGGCTCAAATGATCCTTCCACCTCATCCTCCCCAGTAGCTGGTACCACAAGAGCACACCACCACACCTGGCTCATTTTTTGATTTTCTATAGAGATGAGATTTCGTTATGTGACCCAGGCAGGTCTTAAATCCTGGGCTCAAGCAATATGATCTATTTTGGATCCTATACATTTTTATAGGATACAAACCAAGCTTCTCTCTCTTCTGTTTTTATTTTAAAAATTTTTTGTAGAGACTGGTCTTCCTGTGTTCCCCAGGCTTGTCTCAAACTCCTGACCTCAAGCGATCTTCGCACCTTGGCTCCAAAGTGTGGAGATTACAGCCATGAGCTACTGCCGCAGCCTCTCTTTTATTTTTTCTGATATTGACATCCAGTTGTTTCAGCACCATTTGTTGAAAAAGACCGTTCTTTGTTGAAAATCAATTGATGATACATGTGTATAGATCTATTTTGGGAGTGTGCATTTTCTTCCATTAATCTGTGTCTGTCCTTATGCCAGTACCACACTGTCTTAATTACTTTAGACTCCTAGTAAGTCTTGAAACCAGGTACATACTTTGTTTCTTCTTAAGGTTTTCTTATTTTTTTCTTAGAGATTAATTTTTTCCTTTTTTTTGTTGGTTTGTAATAAGTACCTATGTTGAAGTGGACTAAAAAAAGTCCAGTTTTTATTTCTAGTCCATTTTTCAGAGTCACATTCTCATCTTCCTAATGTTTCATCTTCTCATGTCACTCTTCTGACTGGAAAACCCTTAGTGGCTTTTGAAAGTAAATCTTCAGCATGTTTTTTTAAAGACATTTTCAGGCCAGGCACAGTGGGTTCACACCCATAATCTCAGCACTTTGGGAGGACAGAATGGGCGGACCGCTTGAGCCCAGGTGTTTGAGACCAGCATGGGCAGCATGGTGGACCCTGTCTCTACAAAAAAAACTCACTGGGTGTGGTGGGGACACCCTGTAGTCCCAGCTACTTGGGAGGCTGAGACAAGAGGATCCCTTCAGCCCAGGAGTTGGAGGCTGCAGTGAGCTCTGATTGCTCTACTGCACTCCAGCCTGGGCAACCGAGGGAGACCCTGTCTCCGAAAAAAAGACACTTCCAAAGTGGAGGAGGGTGATATTTGACTTTTCTCAATTAGTAGTACCTTTCTCCCTGTTGAGACTACAGGTTCCTTGTAGGTTTCAATCAGGTATTTTATACTAACTCTTCCACAATTACACGTGGAGTAGGACTTCAGTTGGTGTTTGTGGATTCAAGGTGTTGATCATAATTTGGGAAAGGCTTGATTGAATATGGGATTGTGGTACAGAATTGAATAACTGTTTACTGAATATGTATGTGATGGGTGCCAGGTACTGTGCTTTATATCTGTGATTTCATTTAATCATTATGATGCAGAGAGATTTTGAGGCCCAGAGCGCTTAACTTCAAGACACAGCTAGGATTCACACCACAGTCATGAGTTTAAATCCTAAACCTTTACCCACTCTCCTGTTTCTTCCTTTCCTGTCCTGTCCTGCCCTTTCCTTTCCTGTCCTTTCTTTTCGTTTTTTATAGAGTTTCACTCTTGTATCCCAGGCTGGAGTGCAGTGGCACGATCTTGGCTCACTGCAACCTCTGCCTCCCAGGTTCAAGTGATTCTTGTGCCTCAGCCTCCCCAGTAATTGGGATTACAGGCTCGTGCCACCACGCCCAGCTATTTTTTTGTATTTTTAGTAGAGACTGGGTTTCACCAGCTGGTCTCAAGCTCCTGAGCTCAGTCAGTCCACCCGCCTTGGCCTCCCAAAGTGCTAGGATTACAAGCCTAAGCCACTGTGTCTGGCCTATTGTGTTTATTTTTAATGTGTTTCTCCCCATTAGAATTTATATACTGAGGAAGGGGTTTGTGTCTATTCATCAATGTATTCCCAGGCTTAGAATTGTGCCTCGCACTTAATAGCTGTTTAACAGATAGATACTTGAGTAAATGAATGAATTAATCCATAGTCAGATCTTTGAAAACTTGGGATTCAGAATGGAATGGAATGTTGCCATGCTTGGAACTGTAAAAATACAGCTGTTAGGAGGTAGAGCTGGGAGAAAGGACGACTGGAGAGTTAATCTTATTCTACAAAAGGGATTCTGTCTGTAACTGATGAAACTAGGTAGAGGTTTAAGTAAATGTGTAACCGAGCTGGAGGGAAGAAACCTAATAGCTGTTCTGCGGGAATGTCATCATTTAGTCAGTAGGGAGGTAGACATCCAGAAGTCACAGCTTGCCTCTTGCCTCTTGCCTCTGCCCAGTAGCTTTTCAGTGGTATCTTTTTAAGAGAGGGTCTCACTCTGTCACCCAGGCTGGAGTGCAGCTTTGACCTCCCGGGCTCAAGTGGTCCTCCCATCTCAGCCTCCCAAGTACCTGGGAGCATGGGCGTGCACTACCACACCCTGCTAATTTTTTTTTGTATTTTTTTTATAGAGACTGGGGGGGTCTCACTGTGTTGCCCGGGCTGGTCTTGAATTCCTAGGCCCAAGAAATCTGCCAGCCTCAGCCCAGTCTCCAAAATTGCTAGGATTACAGCTACTGTATCCTTTCAATTCAGTGGTACTCATTGAGTTCTATTCTGCAGGTTGCATTGATGTTTGATTTCTTTCATTGATGTTTCCCCTAAAGTTAGAGAGCTGCTTCTCTTCCTCTTCCTTAATTGCCTCCAGTACTTTAAACTCTATTTACCTGACCTTTTCCTTGAAGGTTCCTCAAGCCAGGACCTACGCACCTGTTGTGAGTGGTGTTATAGTTCTGCAGGGCGCACAGGTGCATCCCCATGGGCACATTTAATTTAGGTGAGTAAAATGGAGCTGTAAGTGGCTGAGATCATTTTCTGTAAGGTGCATTCATCTTCATGGTCAAGTGTGTGGCACCCAACTACTGCAGCATCCAGCAAGAGTTCCCTGTAACACTGAGAGCAAAGGGGAGCCTAATCAATATGCCCCGTTGGATTTTTAAGTATATTTAAATATTTCAGAGATACCATTATAACAAGCCACATGGAATGAAGTTAACTAAAAATGTGTTTATAACTAATTCAGGAGGAGGAAGGTTCAGAGGAGACCAGGAGGGAGTGTGGGATCTAGAGAACAAGGGGATAGAACAGCTTTTGTGGAAGGGGAGGGTGGCTAACTCTTCCTCCGGTGAAAACGTCAGACCGTGTAAGGCAGACAGGGCTACATGCCCAGCTCAGGAGCTCCAGTCACTGTGTTTGATGCATGTGCACCAAGGCTGGGACACTGGGTGAATAGAGGATAGCGGCGATCGGGACATTGCGAGTGCCGTCCTCATAGCTCAGAAGTCATAGCATGTCTTAATCATGGCCATATCCTCAGTGCCTGGCCCATAGTAGGTGTCCTTTAAGTGATTATGAACTGAGTTGCTGGTAGGAGCTGGAGGATTAGGGAACACTCTGGAGGCGATAGGTGATAATAGTTGAACTTGCTGCCTGAGGGCAGTGGTTCCTAAACATTGAACTGTGCAGCTGAATCACCTAGGGGGCTTGTTCATACTTCCATTCTGGAATTGCGCATCCAGTAGATTTGAGTGGGACTCAATAAATTACATTTGTTACAGGTTACCCTGTAGTACTAAGCTGCTGGGCCCACACTTTGAGAAAGAATTACTACTGTTGGAGGCAAGGAAGAAGCCACTCAGTATTCTAAAGCAATGGGACATGGAGGGATAGACCTTAGCTTGCTAAGGGTCACCAGCCCACATGGTTGTGGAATTTTCTGTAGCTGAGCTCAATAGGCTCACAAAGGCAGTTGATTAGATTAAGATCATAGAGGTTTGTGGCTGGGTGCGGCGGCTCATACCTGTAATCCCAGCACTTTGGGAGGCTGAGGCAGGCAGATCACAAGACCAGGGATCGAGACCATCCTGGCTAACACAGTGAAACCCCATCTCTACTAAAAATACAAAAAAAAAAAAAAAAATAGCCGAGTGTGGTGGTCGGTGCCTGTAGTCCCAGCTACTTGGGAGGCTGAGGCAGGAGAATGGTGTGAACCTGGGAGGCGGAGCTTACAATGAGCCAAAATTGCATCACTGCACTCCAGCCTGGGCAACAGAGCAAGACTCTGTCTCAAAAAAACAAAACAAAACAAAAAAACAAAAGTCATAGAGGTTTGTTGAAGGGCCCTACAGAAGGGAAATTGGAGACTTCTTACAAAAGAGTAGTGGAAGATTTGTCTTGGGGCTTATACTGTATAGGGAAGAAAGAAACCTGGTGGAGATTGGAGATTCAAGGTCATGGTTTAGTATATTTCTAACCTTTTCGTCTGTAGCCACCTTAGTAAGAAACACATTTTACATTGTGACCCAGTAATAAATGTATGTATAACTGAGATAGAAGGTTCATAACACCTTTCTTGTTTGCAGTCCATGCTGGGATTCCTATTTCTTAAAAAAAAAAATAGTATGGGTCATGGCTCAGTATATTGACTTCATGAATAGTTAGGCCACACCACTGATTTGAAAGCATTGCTGGTAGAGATGGTTTGGATTAGATGATGAGAATCAGAAAGGGAGACCACTGGGGAATACTGTGTATTGATTGATAGGTGGGAAGAAGGGCAGGTGCCAGAGGAACAGCAGTCTGGGTGGTGACCAGGCACTTCTTGGTGTGCTCAGGAGGTGGGTTGCTGAAGTTGCATGGAGAGGATTACTGGTGCAAAGGCCAGTGGGCTTTCAGGCCCACTGTTAGCTTGTGTCCATGGTCATCAAAGCCCCTTAAAGTTATGTTGTGAATTTGAGGTGGTGAAAGCAGCCCTGGAATGGGTTGTGTCCTAGATGCATTACATCGGTTCTAATGGACTCCCCCTTCTGCAGAATGCCTTGATAGACTAGTTAATAGATTGAAAATCTGGTCTTCCCCATCATATCCCAATGAACAAGCAATGTATAAACTGGGAAAATGCTGGGCTTGTAGGGAGTCGGTGGGAGGGGGGACAGACCGTGGCTGGAGTGCAGTGGCACGCTCAACGCACACTGCAGCCTCAACCCTTCGGCTCAAGCGATCCTCCTACATCAGCTTCTTGAGTAACTGAGACTATATGCACACATCACCACACTCAGCTAATTTTTATATTTTTTTTGTAGAGATAGGGTTTTATCACGTTGTCCAGGCTGGTCTCAAACTCCTGGGGTCAAGCAATCCACCGGCCTCAGCCTCCCAGAGTGCTGGGATTACAGGCATGAGCCACCACACCGGGCTAATAAGTTATTTTTTAGGAGAATAAGCATGATAACAAAGTCAATATTAATCTGAAAACTTAAAATAATTCTGTAAACAGTGCCTATTTTGCAGTAATCATGAGGTATAAGATTGAGTCAACACCCCTGAAAGTACACCTTCTGTAGTGAAAATACCAGCTGAGAAACTCACTGTGCCATTTTATCATTGGAAAAAATAATACAATGCTGTTCCCTGATAAAAGCTCAGAAGAATTTTTTAAAATAATTTTTATTTTTAAAAGTTAAGGTGGGTTTTGGTTTGGAGGAAGAGTATTTGACAGTTAATTGTAGGAATTGAGATACTGCCTTTTAAACCATTTATAGTAATTTATGTCATTAAATGAGTGATTTGTGTTTGAGGATAAACACACATCTGAGTATGGGCTACTTTTCCATTTATTTGGGATCACTCCTGTGTAGTTTTCATGTAACATTTTTCCAAAGAGTTGATCTGGAGTGTGAGATTATCTTCAGCAAGCGAGTAACAGTGTTTCCAGACCTGAATTTGCTAAGGACAAAAGCCAAAGTAAATATATGAAGTTATTGAGAGAAAAAGGTTAAAGGTGATCACAGTAGAGATCACCAATGCCTTTTTGTGGTTGCAAACAAACTAGAAAAACCTAACCAAAAGATCTGAACTACGTCTCCAGAAGACACTCCTTAAAGCCAGAAATTACAACTGGAACTGAGAACACTTGAAAATGAGCGGTGGGGTTTATTTATGAAGATTCATTAGCATTTAATGCTGACTTGTCAAGATTTCAACACTAGTTAATAATAGCACTTTTTAATGGAAATGGCAAAAAACAGCATGTTAGCAAATATAGCCTTCCTATCCCTTCTGGATTAGTTAAATAATTAATGACCTCACCTTGGCGGGAGAGCCCCAGGGAGGAGAGACCCAAGGGAAACGTAGTTTTTCTCCAGTGCCACTTCTGCTAATGAACAGTACCTTTCTCCTAGGGCCAGTCTGATTGAAAATCCAGTTTCCACCCTGGAGGAATACGTTTTAAATTCTGGTATCCCAGTTTACTATTCATGAAAACAACAGTTGGCTGTCAACCTGCGATGTGATTTTGGTTAGACTACATTGTCTGTTACCGGAATGATTACTTATGTTTTCAAGTGAAATGTTAATTTAGCCTGTCAAATAGTGTATGCCCATTGTGATACAAATAAGGAGCTCTTCTCTCACTCCGTTTTTGCACTTGATCTCATGCTGTCTTGTTTAATGTGTGTAACTTTCTTTTCTGTTCAAATGTGGCTTCCTGAATTTCACGGGAAACTCCTGAGGCTCTTTTCCCCCGTCCCTTCACTCCCGCAAGTCAGGTTGTCGAGACTTGGCCAGTGCCAGTTCAGAGGACTGTCTGATCCAGGGGTTCCTGGTTGCCCAGTGCTTGGGGAGCTTATCCCATGTATCATACTTAGCCCCTCTTTCACTATTTTTAGTCCAGTTCTACTACACAAAATGTTGCAAAAATCTTTTTAATTATATTATTTCCTTTTTTCTTTGTAACTCTTGCCCATATCTTTAGGGAGAAAATGATCGCTTTCTTTCCTTTCTTTCCATTTGTAAGCAAAACAAAAACCCCACAAACCCTTATCCTACCCACATAAGGGTATAAAAAGCCCACTGGAGTCCTTAGAAGTACCTTGCAAAAGCCCTTAAGAAGTTTGTTCCCTTCTTTCTTTCTAATTAAATTTCATTTCTTTAAGCAGTAGCATTCAGTGTAAATAACAGTTTGTTTTTTTTTTACTCCTTCTAATTTTTCAGTTTCAATAACATGAGAGGAGTTTTCTTCTTGCTATTTTTGTTACCTGAAGTAGTTCTGCTGTATTTTGAGTTAAATTCTCCTTTACAGGCTAGCATATATAACATGGTTTCTTTTCAACACAATTCATTTTAAATTTGTGGAATTCTTAAACTATTGTATTCCTATATCACAGGCAAGCCTGTGATTAGGTACCAATAAATACTAATTGAATTGTTTCTTAATTTCTGTTGAACTGTGTTTTGTATTTCATTTGTATAAAATTGAGATCTTTTGTAGTATCTAAATGGCTAAGAGTGACCTTTGGAGATCTACGCTTTAATTTCGTTCATTTGTTCAGAAATCTCAATGTTTACAATGTGTCGGCTGGCCCTGTGCTGGCTTCAGTGGAGTGTTCACTAAATGAATATCATTCCAAATAACTTAATAAAACAGTAGCTATGAGAATGACTTTTAAGGAATGGGTACTACCTTAGGGTGGTCTTGAAGGTTTCTCTGTGAAACTAACATTTGAGCTCAGATCAGAATGACAAAGATGAGTCATATATTCAGAGATGGGGGCAGTGGGGGTTGCTAGAGTAAAGGGGCCAAGGCAGGCAGGAACTCCAGGAGCAGAAGGGATGTGACTGGAGCCTCAGGATGGGTTGTCGGGGGCTGTTGGCGGATGAGGTCAGAGTGGTAACCAGAGCAGGGATGGCCTGGTGTTTGTGGGCCACGGTTAGAAGCTGGGAATTTAGGGCAGGCGCGGTGGCTCACGCCTGTCATCCCAGCACTTTGGGAGGCCGAGGCGGGTGGATCATGAGGTCAGGAGTTCGAGACCAGCCTGACCAATGTGGTGAAACCCTGTCTCTACTAAAAATACAAAAAAAATTAGTCAGGTGTGGTGGCGCGTGCCTGTAATCCCAGCTACTCAGGAGGGCTGAGGCAGGAGAATCGCCTCAACCCGGGAGGCAGAGGTTGCAGTGAGCCAAGATTGCACCACTGCACTCCAGCCTGGGTGACACAGCAAGACTCCGTCTCAAAAAAAAAAAAAAAAAATGTTGAGAATTTATTCTAATTGCAATGAGGATTGGAAGCAGAGAAGTAGCGTTTAATTTTCAAATGCTCATGTAGGTTGCTTTGTAGAGAATAATTTCAGGTATTAGTAATTCTAGAGACATTTTGAACTGTATTGGGCTGCGGATAAGGAGTAAATAGGTCTACCAACTTGTGGCCTTTCCTTCTCAGCAACCCCTACTTTTTTTCTTTTTTTTTTTTTATAAGACAGAGTCTCACTCTGTTGCCCAGAGTGGAGTGCAGTGGCGCCATCTCAGCTCACTGCAACCTCCGCCTCCTGGGTTCAAACTATCCTCCTGCCTCAGCCTCCTGAGTAGCTGGGATCGCAGGTGCCCATCACCACGCTTGGGTAACTTTTTTTGTATTTTTAGTAGAGACAGGACCAACCATGTTGGCCAGGCTGGTCTCGAACTCCAGACCTCAGGTGATCCACCCGCTTCAGCCTCCCAAAGTGCTGGAATTACAAGCATGAGCCACCACACCCGGCCAGCAACCACTACTTTTAAGCCAACTTTTTAATAATTTAAATTTTAAGGAATGCCTTTGGTGTGAAAACATTGTGCAACTATACCTATCCATAGTTTGGAGGAGAAACAAGCATAAATTAAACCCAGTAGTGTAAGATGGGTGTTACCATGCCTCTCCTTCACTCTCACTGCACGTCCTGTTGTGATGGAGTTAAGTATGCCAGGCATATACAGCATGTGTGTAATAATGCTCCAAGGATGCAAGAGAGAAGGAAGGGTTTGGAGGTGAAATTAGGGAGAGACCACTTCCTCATTCCTGGTGATAAAGTCATCTGAACTATGCATCTCATGCGATTTCTTCACAGGGCATGTACCCTGTTCTAAAGTCCTCCAGTAGACATTTTAGGTAGCAGAAGAGTGAGAAGCTAAGGCTCTAGTTGTTGATTTATTAACATACAAGTTCAATTATTGGCGATTTTGTGAAATCCATAACATTTCTTAATTTCTAGATACTGCTAGGCCTTTCATACTGAATGACATAGGATTTCTAGCTTCAAAGGAGTTTTTAAGATAAAGACTTATGTTACATATTTTCAGATTACCCTTTTTTTTTTTTTGACACAGGGTCTTGCTCTGTCGCCCAGGCTTGAGTGCAGTGGTGCAATCTTGGCCCACTGCAGCCTCTGCCTCCTGGGGGCAAGCAATTCTATTATCTCAGCCTCCCAAGTAGCTGGGATTACAGGTGCCCGCCACCACACCCAGCTAATTTTTGTTAATTTTAGTAGAGACGGGATTTCGCCATGTTGGCCAGGCTGGTCTCAAACTCCTGACCTCAGGTGATCCGTCTGCCTCAGCCTCCCAAAGTGCTGGGATTACAGGCGTGAGCCATGGTGCCTGGCCGGATTACTCTTTTTAAAAGCTGTACTTGGTAACACTTCTAACCGTCATATATGAATGAATACAACGAAACTAATCATTTTAATTTTCATATTAAAATTAAATAGCAAGATTCCAAGAATACTAGAGGAAATTAGCTTACTTTAAACCTTTTAGATTATCTTTAACAGAATATCTGATGTGCTTGTTGGTCAGTAATATTTGTTAATGTCACAGACATGTTTACTTTGTAATAGCTTAATTGCATAATATCCTCATATAAAGCAAATTAATGAAATTTATTTCATTTTTTGAAATTGCTCACATGCTAATTAAATGAATGTTTTCTGACCCTGATACCTTCAGTGTCTTCATCTATTAATGGTTTTTTAATAAAACAGCAAAATTAAAAATTTTTACCTTCATATGCCAACACACACTAAGCTCTTGTTCTCTTTTATAGGGAAATCCTCATTGACGATTCAATTTGTTGAAGGCCAATTTGTGGACTCCTACGATCCAACCATAGAAAACAGTAAGTATTGTTTTCAAGTACTTAAAAACTGAGAAGCCTTCTTTTGTGTAAAATAGCCATTGTGTATTCATGGAGGCTTTGAGTGCAGGAGGTAAATTCTGTGTGTCTCCCAATTGGGGTCAAAGAAAACTTGCAAAAGATTTACCTACTTTACCCTGAAAGATTTTTCCTTCCATGTCTGCATCCCCTGCCATCTAGAAATTATTAATTCAAGTCAGTAGGAGTCTGGCCCATTACTGGAATCTTCAAATTCCAGAATCTGCTCCAAAACAGGAATGGAGAGCACAGTCTTCTCCCCCACACCCCCTTTCTCCCAGCCATTGCAGTTTCCAGGGATTCCAAGCTTGAAAGAATGAAAAACACTCGAGATCCCTGTTCCTTATTCTTACAGAAGCCGTACTCCCACCCACATTTCTCTATACCCTTCTTTCCAGCCCTAAAGATTTGAAAGAGAAATGAACTATTCTGGGATTGGATAGAGCAGTTGCAGCATTAAAAAGAAGTTGGCTCAAAAAGCCTGTTGACATTTTAGGCCATGTGCAGAAAAAAGCAGGGAAGACAGAACCAGCCATGACCTTTACTTTGTTCAATTTTAATCCATGGTTTCAGAATATTCCTGATGGATTCTAGGACCATGAGACTATTTATTTATTTTATTTTATTTTTTAAAGAGACATGAGTCTCACAGTGTTACCCAGGCTGGACTCAATATCCTGGACTCAAGTGATCCTCTTTCCTCAGCCTCCCAGGTGGCTGGAACTACAGGCATACAACACTGTGCCCAGCTTTGAGACAGATCTTGATTCTAGGGATCGCCAAGGATAATCTGAAGCAGGGAAGCTGGTCTTTTCAGGCTTAGAACCCCAGGTGGGCCCTGGAACTAGGTTTCTCAGATTCTTGAGACCAGGACTTATCTAGGATTTGTCACCAGGAACATGTAGATTTAAACATGGGATTCATCAACACCTGATTGGCATATTAGACACGAAGCATATTTCACCGGCCGGAGGCTTGCAAGAGAATCACTTGAATGCTTTGGCTGACAGTAAAGAGCTTGGCAAACGACAGCCTGCAGGCCAGCAAGGCCCATTTCCTGTCTTTATACAGACCAAGAGCTAAGAAAGGTTTTTCCATTTAAGCATAATATATAAAAGTCCAAAGAAGAATAATGTCTGGCATGTGAAAATTATATGAAATTCAAATGTTAACCTCTATAAAGTTTTATTGATACACAGCCATGCTTGTTCCTTTACATGTTGTCCTTTACATGCTGTACAATGGCAGAGTTGTTGAATAGTAAGAGCAGAGACCAGGTGGCCTACAAAGCCTAAAATATTTACTGGTACTGTCTGGCCCTTTACAGAAAAAGTTTGCTCACCCCTCGCTTAAAATATTTGGCTGTCCTTTGTGTTCCAGTGTGCTGGTAGCAGAGAAGGAAACCTGTTGGTTGATAAACTAACTCCAGGAATATTTTTGAAAGTAACCTTTCAAGATGTTATATTTGAAAGTAACCTCTGGGTATCTACAGGGAGGAGTCCTGATTACATCCTATGATTTGTCTAGCTGGTCATTATATAATAGTAAGCAAGTGTGAGGAGCAGATTAATGTGAGTGCTGGATGAACAAGCTCGGTTTTCTGTCCACTGGAATAAGAACATAAGAAAATCATCATCTTGGACCTTAATATTTGCTATACAAAGCAATTTAGGATTTTAGATCCTTGAAATAATAAGGTTCATTTTGGAATTGTATTAACAGAACAATAGAAGATTGTTTTCTTCGTAAGCTCTGCCTCTAAAAGTGGATATTGTGGCTGTATCCTCATGCCATTTCATACTGAGCTGGAATTAGCTGGGCGTGATGGTGTGTGCCTGTAGTCTCAGCTGAGACAGGCGGATCACTTGAACCCAGGAGTTTGAGGCTGCAGTGATCTGTAATCATGTCACTGTACTCCAGCCTGGGCAGCAGAGCAAGATGTGGTCTCAAAAGTAAAAACTGAGTTGGAAGGAAAGTCATGGAGTTGTGTATCATGGAGCTATATATACATACATTTTCTTAGTAAGTAATGGATCAGAAGAAAGTCCAACTTATGTAACTTGATGTTATCTCAGAAACAGAGTAATATGACCCTACTTTTTTGAGGCTATCAACATCATCTTTGGTCATATTTTAAATTTTTTCTCATCTTACAGTTCAATAATGAAGACTTCTTTACCTCAAAAATGAATTCAGAGTACTTGTTTATTAAAGTCTGTAGGCAGGAGCAGAAATAAATATGAATATGTATCCATTAAAAGTTCGTGAGGCATGTTCAGACATTATATTCTACTTACCACACTTCTGATAACCTAACACAGGGCAGGAGCCCTTCGCCCACCCTTTCCTCCACTGTTTGGTAGAAAAACATTGTTCAGTGATAACAATGAATTAGAAAGAAAAGAAAAGGTTATCATGAACTTGTTGCTAGCAAGATAAATAAGTGGGTGGTTTCATGATTTTAAAAAACTGCTCTGTAGATCTGGAAATAATTTAGTAGTTATTTTACACTTTATAATATTAGAACAAGCTGTTATAGCAAACACTCAGTGGTGACACATTTCAGTGAAGTGTCATGGTGAGCAAAAATTCTGGGACTGTGTCATCTTTAACAGTAGGGGTGTAGGAGAATAATATTAATAAAACCACATATTTTCTAGTTTGGGGAAATTTTAAAGCAGAAGTACTACTTATGCAAGTGTACTTCATTATCTACTGTAGTGTTAATCTAACAACTCAATACAAACTAAATTGATAGGCTGAAATTAAGCTAGTGGTAGTTTATAACTAAAAAGCAAGCATAGCAGCAATTTCCGACTTCTGCCATCTCAAGGTAGCACTGTTAGTGAATGACAAAGCGCCTTCCAGAAAGTTGGGAGGTTGCACTTAGGTGTTGCAGCATTCTCAAGGCACTGCGTCCTGGGTGTGGACTTCTCAGTAGGGTATGAATGAAGAGCCCTCACCACACTTTAGTAACACAAATCTTGCTTTGTGAACACCAAATTTTGGAAACCTCTATGACCGTGGTTAGTAGCATTTACTAGTAAATAGCTATTAGTCTACTTAGGAGAATTTCAGGGGTTTAGGTTGGAAATGGATTCTCTGGTGATTCAAAGAGGCAGGGAGAAAGGGGCTCAAGGAGAGTGATGTCAGAAGAAAGCCAGCTTTCCACTTTGACATGAGGTTAAAATGAGAGACAGTAGAATTATTTCCGAGTCTATCCTATCTCTTATTATACCTCCCTTTTTTCTATAGTAAAAAACTGGCAGTTTTCCTATGACAGCAAGATGGAAGGTCTTTTTCATTTTACTGCTACAAGTAGGACAAGTTACATTCTTTTTACATGCAAAGATAGATGCAAATGTTTATTTTTTTTTTTTTCTTTTATACACTATGTACAATGACATCTCAGTCTTCTTGGCCGAATCTTCTGCATTTTTTTGACTTGGCAACATGGGGTGCCCTGGTTCAGGCCTTTCCTCTGCACTTGCTCTCAAGTAATCTTCCCCTCTCTTCAATTTGCTATTGACTCACCAGTGTGTATTCTCAGCCGCAACCTCTCCCCCCAGCTCTGGGCTTTATTTTATAATTTATTTTATTCTACATGACAAGGTCTTTCACTCTGTCCTTCAGGCAGGAGTGCAGTGGCATGATCATAGCTCACT
This sequence comes from Homo sapiens, assembly GCF_000001405.40. NCBI lineage: Eukaryota > Metazoa > Chordata > Mammalia > Primates > Hominidae > Homo > Homo sapiens. Next base: position 151,487,241 of record NC_000007.14, on the reverse strand, counting down.
GTAACCTTGAATACCTGGGCTTAAAATGATCTTTCCTCAGCCTCACAAGTAGCTAGGACTACAGGCGTGAGCCACCACGCTGGAGCAGTTTTTCCATTTTTGTGGAGATTGGGTCTCCCTGTGTTGCCCAGGGTGGTCTTGAACTCCAGGCCTCAAGCAGTCCTCCTGCCTGGGCCTCCCAAAGTGGGATTACAGGCATAAGCCACTACATCCTGGGCTTTTTTATTTAACTGCCTGCATTTCCCCTTGGTATTTAATAGGCATCCCAAAACATCCCTAAAACCCAACTCATTTCCCTTCCTCTCCTATCCCTAGTATTCTTCCCCTAGTCTTTCCTGTAAGTGGCAACTTACAGAAGCTTTGGAGTCATCCTGACTCTTCATTTTCTTACATCCCACTTCCAGTCAATCAGAAAATCCTTTTGGTTCTGCCTCTGAAATATTTCCAGAATATCTCCACCTCTAATCCAGGCCAGTGTCACCCTCTATAGATTGTGATAGTCTGTACAGTCATGTGGTCACTGTATCATGGGCTCCTGCCTAATATCCCTGGGACCATTTTTGTTACTTACAGCGTAGCCAGAGTGATCTTTCCTTGGTTTCTCCTCACATTCAGAGTAAAAATCCCAAGTTCTGTAGGACCTTCTGCCTCCTGTCCATCCTAGTTAGCTATCTACCGTTCTCTCTGAGCTTTAGCTGCATTGACTTTTTTGCTTTTTTCACTTGCTGTTTAACCTCTGCCTGGGTGTTCCACTCCCAGGGAAGATACCCGACAGGGTGGGAGGGTACATGTGTGTGTCTATACCTTCTTTCCTTCCCTGGGATCTAAGCTCACTGAGTATCAGAGACTACAGCATCCCAAGCACCCACAACAGTGCTACTGGTGATAATAGGCACTCAAGAAATTGTTCTTGAATGAATGAATGAATGAATGATGTTTCCTTTCAGTAACCTTGTCATCATAATTATACTTGATAACTGCAGTTACTTAGTTCTAATTGAAGGTCACTGGTTTTATTGCTCACCAGTGTTTCTTACATACTTCTCATCAAATCTGAAATACACTTCAATCTCACGTGACTGAAGGTTTTCACACAGCTATGTAGTGACTGCACCCTGGCTGACAAGGACTGAAACCTCCAGCGGTGCAGGATGCATCCCAAGTTCAGAGAGAATAAGGTGTAAAAACAAATCTGAATTCTTTCTTAGAATTGATGAAATAGGTTATATTGGGTATCCCCCCAGCTTGAAATATTCCGATTCAGTTTCCATCTGATTTAACTGTTTCCTAAAAGTGATAACTTCCGGAACAGGTACAAGCATAATATAGTGTGGCCATTGATTTCATGCTGTGGTCTGTTATCTTTACTCACCTGACTTTTGGCCCCCCTGCTTGTATTAGAAAAGTGTGACGCTAATATGGTTCTCTGTGATGATTGCTTGTCTTTCAGCCATCATTTCTTTCCCTGTGGAACTCATATAACTCAGATAAGATCTCTGATCAATCCTCCTTATTACTTAGAGTTTTCTCACATAATTTCCATTTGTCTGTGTCAGCTTTGCCTTTCTGCTGTGGGTAGAGTGGGACCTCTCTCAGTTGTATGAGGGATAGATTCTGCTGCCTGGCTCTAGTCATATAGGACGGCCAATCAGGAGATTGGAGGACTCATGGTGAGTCAAGATGGCTGGGGCGGGTATGCAAGATAAATCTGTTCCACTTCCTTGTCAGAGTTCCAGGTGGTTATTTTTACATTGTTTCTGTTAGTAGTTCTTTCCTCTTTTGTCTATATTTGTTTGAAGTCTGTCTCCCTCTAATTCTGAATTGACTTTTCCGGAAGTTATTCAAGTCTGATTTTCTTTCCTCCCTTGTCAGGGAAAAGAAGTTGTGACAAATTGCTTGGATCCTTAAGCTTAAGTGGGAAGGATGGCTTCAACACAGAACATCTGTTTCATTGCTGTTTTATCCGTCAGTAAAACTGTTACTTCTTTTATGTACTAAAAGTTCTTAGCACTTAACTAATATTAGCTCTTTGTGCTCTGATGCCAGACTTCCTATAAATTAATGGAAAATTTTTGTGGTTTTGGTTTATTCTAGACCTCAGACTTTACGTAGTATATTTCACTTTTTCACAAGAGGAAGGATTTGCCACACAGCATTCAAATTACTATTATAGGATATGAATTGTTGCGTACTTTGTCTCTTTGAAAAAGAATCAAGGTTTACCAAGCTTGATTTTAGCCAGTCACCGTATTTCCTAGCTAAATAATGGAAGTAGGGGAGAATCTATACAAGTCAGAGAGTTGTTCTTTTTTGTTTCATGGGGCCTTTCTCTGAGACTGCTAGGGACTCTGTGCTTGATTGGTTGTCATTGTTCAAACTTCAGGTGGTTTCGAGTTAATTTTTTTAAACTAATGTTTAATTTCCTTTTTCCCTGTAGCTTTTACAAAGTTGATCACAGTAAATGGACAAGAATATCATCTTCAACTTGTAGACACAGCCGGGCAAGTAAGTGACCTCTGGTATCTCAGAATCTTATACAGCATATCTGACAGTCTTGGTCCTAGCACTGATTTTTAAAAGTACCAGCTATGCCAAGAAAACCCCTCAGGTTGTGTGCAGACAGTCCCTGACTCCCAATGGTTTGGCTTGCAGTGGCTCGACTTAACAATTTCTCATCTTTACGATGGGTCTATTGAGGTATTTGATACATTTTCAACTCATGATATTTTTGGTTTACAGTAGGTTTATCACGATGTAACCCCATCATAAGTCAAGGAGCTTACACAGATAACTAAATGTTAGTATGCTGTCTACTTGGTCTTTTCTAAGACATTTCTGGCAGTTATCTTTTAATAACTTGTTTTTCTGCTTTAGAATTGCTTTAAATATATTAACATTGTAAGGGTTAATACTTATTACAGGATAGTGGTTTTCTATTTTCTAAACTTTAATTCTATATTAGAGAGTCATATTAGTTGCTTTCTTTCTCTTTGTGATATGTGTTCTCCTACATTAGGGCAAAAGTACATCTTTTCTAGAGGAAAGGCATAAGAGGGGCATAGGGCAGAAATTAGCTGATTTAATCTTATGAGGACCTGGGCCATAAAATACCAGTTTGACTGGAGTCCAGGCTCTGGTTTGAGTGTTGGCTTTAGTTTATATAGTAGAGTCTCTGGGTGGGTGGATTTGAGAGTGATTACTAGATTAGGGAGTTTCAATTTATTTGATAGACAGTAGATAATGGCCAAAAGTCAAATAATCCCCCCAGAAAGGATATTCACATGTCGGTTAATGTAGCAGGGATGTGTGGAATGGATCACCAGGGAATTGGCTGGAAGCAAGGGGGAAAGGAGTACATGAAACAAAGAAAAGCCCTTTTGACAGCTTAGCTGCCCCATTACCATGACATCCAGGCCTGCTTTTACTAGAAACTATTCTGTAAGACTGAATTTACCCTTCTTCACTGGAGGGTGAGGAATGTAAAGAAGCTGGGATTTCAGCTCCTAACTCCTGCCCTTGCAACATTTTTTTGAGACAGAGTCTTGCTCTGTCACCCAGGCTGGAAGGCAGTGGTGCTATCCCACTACAACCTGTGCCTCCTGAGTTAAAGCAATTCTCCTGGCACAGCCTCCCAAGTAGCCGGGATTACAGGCACACCACCACACCCGGCTAATTTTGTATTTTTAGTAGAGGCGGGGTTTCGCCATATTGGCCTGGCTGGTCTTGAACTCCTGACCTCAGGTGATTCACCTGCCTCGGCCTCTGAAAGTGCTAGGATGACAGGCATGAGCCACCATGCCTGGCCCGCCCTTGCAACTTATAATCAAAGGATAAGAGTAGCAGGAGGGTGAGTGTAGTGTGATCTGGTTTGCTGTGTTAAATGGGGGCTATTTTTCTGGAATCTGGGGAAATTGGAGTAGACCCAGAATAATATGACCTGTCCTGTGGGTTTGGAATGAATTCCCTCTGCTTTGCATTTTGAAGTAAACATAGAAGGAAAGTGTGATGCCTTAGTGAAGCAAGAAGATAGCTGTATTGAGTGATGTTAGCATTGGAGGAACCCTGAGGTTTCCATTTTGGAAGCTTGGAAGAAAATAAATGTGTTTGGCTCTTTGAGCTTGTACACAGAGCTATAGCATGTGCCTCCTTCACTCACCCTACACACTCCCTGCTGGTGGTGATGCAGTGTGCTTTAGCAGTCAGATTCTTGATGCTTTCATTAGAGCAGAGCCATCCTAGGCTTTCACCCCCTGATACCTGTCCTCTTGACAGAAGAATAGGAGTTGGGGCTTATATGGACCAGGGGAGCAGTAGAAGTCTCTGTTAGGGGGTCGGGGGCATGGCACAGATGACGAGGCTCATTAGAAATTAGTAGGGAAGGGAAGAGCCGCTTGAGTAGGAAATTGTTTTGGATTGTTGGGTTTTGTATCTTTCTTTTATAGTTGACTATATAATTTATTGCCTAAACCAAGACACTTTCAGAGTTGTGGGCTGGGGGTGCTAATAATAATTATGTTGGGACAACAGTGTAACTTAGAATGTCCTGGGCAAAGAAATACAGCTGTTCTGTTTATTGTGGGACTCTGACACTATCAAGACTTCAGTTTGCTTTTGTATCCTTATTTGGAATCTCCTTTAAGCTCCTGAAAACTGGTGATGAGAATGTAAATTGATAAATCACTTTCATGTAATGTTACTGTGGAAACACGTTTTGTATCAGGCAATTCAGGGAACCAGTATTTCATAACTGTTTGGAGTGTGGGCCCTGGGGTTACACTTGCCTGGATTTGAATCTTGGTTTTTGTTGCTAACCCAGTAACCTTAAGGAAGCGAATGAGGGCTGGGCATGGTGGCTCATGCCCTTAATCCCAACACTGTGGGAGGTGGAAGGATCACTTGAGCCCAGGAGTTTGAGGTTGCAGTGAGCTGTGATAGCACCACTGCAGTCCAGCCTGGGCAACACAGCGAGATCCCATCTCTTTACATAAAAGGGTGAAGAAGTCTTTCTGTGCCTCAGAGCTTTATCTATAAATAGTGATAACTGGCATTGTTGCAGGATTGTCACATTGGGGTTAAAGAGGCTGTGCTCTTTCTTTGTAGACCTTCAATGCTGCTGAGGCAAGTGTGACGCCAGCATATTAACTGTGTTGACAGGCTGCATGGTGGAAGTGCACATGTTCTTAATACTTGGAGAGCTGTCTTTGAAAAGATTTCTCTAAAGAATAAATTTCTTTATACTGACTACTTATCAAGTTGGAATATGTGTTCCTCTGGGGTACTGTTTTGCCCTGGAACATAAATGTACACTCAGGTATCAAACAATTTAAAATATTTTAGTGATGTAGTAATACAAATAGTGAAACCAAAAGCACCAGTGTTTAGGAAGAGTATATGATATGAGATAAGACAAGAGCAGTGGTCATATTAGCAGCCCTGTTGTCTTGCCCCTTCGGGTTATATTACAACTGGGTAAGAGTATTTGGAGAATTTTTGCACAAAATATATCCAAATTTGGCTACTTTAAATTATTTGTAGTCATTGCAACTAGTAGTTCTTGAAGGTTATATTTACAGTTGAGAGACAATAAATTAAAGATGTGCTCTTTATTTACAGCTCAGGATGGTGGCACACAGGCATGTCCTGCCGTGGTTTCACCCTTCATTCTGTTGAAAACTGGATGATAACAAACTCAGGTGTTTACTGCTCCAAGAGCTGCTTTATAAATTGGATGCATACGGGGGCTGGTTCTAGGATTAAGACTGGTAGTAGTAGGGTAAAATGATTAAGGGGCAAATTCTTTTAAAAGTAATCTATAGTAAATTTGTTCACTGGCTTCCACATTTCAGGAGTGAAATTGCACGCAGTGAATTGCTGCATAGCGGTATTTGTTAGCAAGTTCTATTTACTACTTAGTAGTTTATGTCGGTACATCCATACCACTATGGTTTAATAGTGGTTTAATTGCCCACCTAGGAATGATGATGAACATGGTTAAATACAGATTATTTTTAGATTGCATGAAATATTTTGGTTTTGCCCAATTTTAGGGTGAGAACATATACCCTAAATGAATTTTGGGGTAAGAATGTGAAGTATCAAAAAAAAAAAAAAGTAGCCTCTTCTATATTAACCTATTTATGCCTGGTGTTACATTATTGGAACGTTAAGCTTGTGGGAGTTATTTATATCCTACTGCTCAAGGTCACCAAGGTCTGATTTTTCATGAAAAAAAAAATTTTGCAACCTCCGGCATAAATGGGTTAATAACTTAGATTCACACCTGTAATCCCCGCACTTTGGGAGGCCAAGGCGGGTGGATCACTTTAGGTCAGGATTTTGAAACCAGCCTGACCAACATGGTGAAACTCTGTCTCTACTAAAACTACAAAATTAGCCAGACATGGTGGTACATGCCTATAATCCCAGCTACTTGGGAGGCCGAGGCAGGAGAATTGCTTGAACCCAGGAGGCGGAGGTTGTAGTAACCCAAGATTGCACCATTGCCCTCTAGCCTGGGCAACAAGAGTGAAACTCTGTCTCAAAAAAAAAAAATAATAATTAATAATAATTAAAATTGATTCAATGACAATCCATCTTATAATGTAACCAAATTTGCTTTTTTGAAAATTGAGTTTAATTTTTAAAAAATAGGTGTAATGCGCATGGTACAAAAATAAATAGTGCCAAAAGGTGTAAATAGTAAAACTTAAGACGTTCCTACCCTAGCTATCTAACCCCCCACCCCCACCAGCAACCACATTTACCAGTTTCTAGTATATGCCTCTAGGATACTTGATACATGAATATGCAAATATAGTTTTAAGCTTGGGTTTTGTTTTGTTTTTTTTCCTTTTTACACAAAAAGTAATACATCTCCCTCTTGGAGATTATTCCATATCAATACCTATGGCCTCCTTTTCCCCCAAGGCTGCGTAATATCCAGTTGTTGGGATATATATCCTAAGTTAACTGCTGATCAACAGTTAGACTGTTGCTGGTCTTGCTACCATCAGCAGTCCCTTAATGAACATCCCGGACGTTGTTTTAGACATAGGGTAATAATGCACATAGGAAAACTTCCTGGATGTGGGCTATCATAGGGTTACAGTTCATGTTCTTGCCAGCAGTGAATGAGAGTGTCTATTTCCCTACACCCTCACCAGCACTATGTGTTAGCAAACGTTTTGGTACTTACCAATCTGATAGGTGAGAAAAAGCAGTGTACTTTTAAAAATGCAGTGTACTTTTAATAATGCACTTTTCTTCTTAGGAGGGGCTTTGATTTTTCCTATGTTAGAAGATGTTTGTATTTTTCCCCCTATGAATTATCCTGTCTGTGTACTTGGCCATTTTTTTTCTATTGGGTGGTTGGTCTTTGCGTGTTGATGTGAGATTCCCCTTGATATGTGAAGAAAATTAGCGTTTTGTATATGATCTGAGATGCACAGTTTTGTTTTCAGTTTGTCTTTTATTTATGGTTTTTATTTGAGGGGTTTGCAGCCATGAAGAACTTTTTCACATAGTTGAATTTATTTATTAATCTTTTTTTTTTTTTTTTTGAGACGGAGTCTCGCTCTATCGCCCAGGCTGGAGTGCTGTGGCGCGATCTCGGCTCACTGCAAGCTCCGCCACCCAGGTTCACACCATTCTCCTGCCTCAGCCTCCTGAGTAGCTGGGACTACAGGCGCCCGCCACCACGCCCAGCTAGTTTTTTTGTATTTTGAGTGGAGACGGGGTTTCACTGTGTTAGCCAGGATGATATGAATCTCCTGACCTTGTGATCTGCCCACCTTGGCCTCCCAAAGTGCTGGGATTACAGACGTGAGCCATTGTGCCCGGCCTTATTAATCTTTTTTTAACTGATAATGTATTTTAAGCTCTCCCATCTATCATACGCATCGTTTTCATCTTTAAATCTTTGCTTCCTCTGGAATATGTTTTTGCCAAAGTGTGAATTGGAGTTCCAGCTTAGCCATTCATCCTCAGGTGGCTCTGGGCTTGTCCCTACACTCAGTTGAGGGTTACTTTTGGTCCTCACTGATTGAAATGCCAATATTATCATGTACCTCATTCTCATATCTGTCAGGTCTTTCTGGATTTTTCAGTCTGTTCTGTTTGTGAGCCAGTACAGTATTACTTATGAGAGCTTTATGATTTCTACTCAGCTGCCCTCCCAATTGCTATTATATTGTTATATTGCTATTATTCTTTCTCAGAAAGTAGACTTTAAAGGCCGGGCACAGTAGCTCCTGCCACTGCACTCCAGGCTGGGTGACAGAATGAGACTGTCTCAAAAAAAAAAAATCAGACTGGGTGCAGTGGCTCACACGTGTAATCCCAGCACTTTGGGAGGCCAAGGCAAGCGGATCACCTGAGGTCAGGGGTTCGAGACCAGCCTGGCCAACGTGGTAAAATCCTGTCTCTACTGCAAATGCAAAAATGAACCAGGTGTGGTGGTGTAGCCTGTAGTCCCAGCTACTCAGGAGGCTGAGGCAGGAGAATCGCTTGAACCTGAGAGGTGGAGGTTGCAGTGAGCTGAGATAGTGCCATTGCATTCCAGCCTGGGCAACAAGAGGGAAACTACGTCTCAAAAAAAAAAATCAGAATTATATCAGCTGGGGGCTCTTTCCTCCATTATACCTTCTAACTGGTAGTTTTTTACTCAGTGCTTCTTAGACATAACTTCTTTTTTCTATGTTTCCACAGTTTCCCTTTAGGGAAAACAGAATTTTAACTTTGAACCTACTCTAGCTGAGCTAGTGATTAAAATCATTTGGGATTTTGTTTTTAATCTTATTTATTATATCAAAGAATTTATAATAAAACTTAATTTTTCTTTTCTTTTTTTTTTTTTCTTTAAAGAACTTTACCATAGGGCAGTAATTCTGGGCTGTCATAAACAGTGGTTATAACCATACTATAAGTTTACAAAAATAATAGACTGCTGCTTAATCTTCTGGTACCATGATGTGATTTTTCCATAATAGTGCTTAGGACATGTGTTATGTTGACAATTTAGTTTCAACTAAGAATGAAACGTTCGTACCAGACAGTGGCGCGTGCTGTTGAAAACTGCACTGACATCAGAACTTTCTGTATGCTTTAATACGTATATAAAGCAAAGTGTCATAACGCTGCTTTATAAAACTAAAGACTACTGTGCTGTTGCGTAATAGGTACCTTTCTCTTTAATTCCTAGAGTTGCTCAGTAAATAACTCTCTTGGTCCCCAAAAGTCTGAATACCTCAATTGAACCTGGTGTTTTGATCCTCTTTTCTCTTTCTCTGTTTCTCTCTCTCTCCCCCACCTCCCTCCCTCTCTCCCTCTCTCCTTCAGATGCTGATGGCACCCCTCTAGCAACCTGTAGACTGAAGCTCAGGTCATTGTGACTGACATGCAGAGAATAAATCAAATAATATGCCAGTTTCAAATATAAAAATACAGATTTATGGGATAAATCAGCAGGATTTATAAATGTCCTGAGGTCTAGAAGGTTCTGGAGTTAGTGATGCTCATCCCTTGTTTTGAGATCACAGAGCCAATGATTTTTGTGTTCCATCCATCCTCTTCTCCCAGAAATTATGAAGGTCATCAGACTTTCCCCTAAAGTTCTAGAACAGCTAGTCATTTTTAAATATTGGCTTGAACCACATTATCACCTCCAGGCCATTCTTAAAGCTTCACTTTGTAGGCTGTTTCTGGCATAATATTGTAATCCACTCTGCGTCTACTTTGATTTCTTCAGGTAATACATGAAAAACTTTGGGTAAAGTTTGTTTGTGATGCTATATGAAGACTACTCAAAGATAATTTTTTTTCCCCACAGGATGAATATTCTATCTTTCCTCAGACATACTCCATAGATATTAATGGCTATATTCTTGTGTATTCTGTTACATCAATCAAAAGGTAAGACTCCTGCTGCCTGCTTGAGTTGATTTGCTACTCATAGATAACATTGATCCTTTTAAGGGACTGTGCTGGAATTATTAATAGTGACAATTAGAATTATTAGGCTACATGTTTTTTAGTGATTTTCTCGTGGAGCAACTGGATTGCTGGGAAACATGGCCCACTAGATGTTCTGTTAGTTACACCAATAGGATAAAAGGCTCTTTCTTACCTCAAGCTACCTAGAAAAACAGTGGTTCAGCATGATCTAAGCTTTTCTGCTAATTGAAATGGGAAATGCCTAAATTAATTTTACTTTGTGTGTGTTTTTACCATATTAAGGTGAAATAGACTTTCTAATAAAATGTGGGGGTTTGGGTTTGTTCAATATCTTATCCTTTGAATTTATGAAATAAGACCTTTTGGTAATAGAGTCTGACTTTACTACATAAAAACAAAGCCACTATTTTTATTAATAAGAATGGATATCGGTTCCTCTAGCTACGTATTTCATGTCTCCTCTTATCGGGGGATGGCATGTATTATCAGGAGGAGCAGTGGTCTGTGTCTGTTAACAGAACAGCTGGCTGTATACAGCAGCGGAGCTCTGGGCATTGGTGACAGCTTATGTTTGAAGACTTTATGAAAATATCAGTGCCAGTGGAGGGCGTTTGGTGGCTACGTAGCATCTATTGAGTGTGTGCGACATGTTAGGGAGTTTGCTACTCTCTTTGCCTACATATGATACATTACTTATTTCATCATTACCTTAATCCTTCATCAGAGATGTTTTATATCCCACTTTACGTGGAAAGAAACTGAGTGACAGAGACCTAAAGCAGCTTGCCCAGGGCTACATAATGACATTGCTGGGATTCATAGCCATCTCTCCAGTTCCACAGTCAAGGCTGACACTGTCCAATAGAACTTACTGCGGTGATAGAAGTGTTTGCTCTCTGTGCTGCAGGTGGCTGTTTAACTAAAAATGGAAAATTAAGCCTCCCTCGGTTACAGTAGCCCCATTTCAGGTGCTCAGTAGCCACATGTGGCTGGAGGCTGCCATGTTGGCCAGTGTCTGGGTTCCTTACCCCCACATACTCCACTGCCAGTGAAAATTCAGTCTGCTGCTCTGTGAGTGTGTTGTTTAACATTTTTCTCCGTGGCAGAGAAACATACTTTAGGGTGTTGAGTTCTAGCTATAAAATGTTTGAGTACCATTCTCGGCCATTCTTATAAACAGACCCCATACTGTCAATCCCCGAGAAAGTTTACACCTGAATCAAAACCAAGTACCAGAATTATGTGTTCCTTAAGGAAAATTGAGGAACTGTGAAAAATAGAAAGTGAGGGTAATCATTCTTAATCTAATTACCTAAGCATAGATACTGTTAATATCTTGGTATATGTTTTTTCTGGTCTTTGTTTTAGTCTGCATGGATTGTTTTAACATCCTTTTATTTGCTCTCTGAATGCTGTTTTATGGTTTATATTTTCCATGTTTTTATATTTTTACTTACCATGTAATATATATTTTTCCATATTACCTAGTATTTGAAATAGTAAATGGCTTTATAATATTTCATGTTCAATGATAGATGGATATCTCTCTTCCTGTTTAATGTATTTATTTATATTGTCACTGAAAGCAATGCTTGGATTGGATTTTATGCTTAAAACCACTGTGTACTTAGTATTTGGAAACATGATCATTTTCTTACTGACTTATAAGAGCACTTTAAATAGTAAAACTATTGGCCATTTTTATACAAAGATTTTTTTAATTTCAGTTGTATATTTTTAAAATGTATATACTGCCACGTGTAAGGCCTTGTCCAGAACAAATTTAGTGTACCAATAATCTAATGAATGTTGGAAGTTCATGTTTGTTTATGAATTTCCATTATTTTACTAATTTACTTGAAAAACATGATTCAAAGATTGTTTTGTTGTTGGTAAGTACAATTTTATCCTAGCTGATTTTTAGAAAACAGTGTTGGTGTTACTTTACAAATTGTTACTTTGAGGCATTAAAGTAGTAGGTAGAAAATTTTCTTAGTGCATCCACTGATTTTTTTTAAGTCTCTTTTTTGGTGTGCACAAATTAGATGACATTATAGAATCAAGTTGAAAACATAGCATGTGCCACTGGGGAAATTGAAAAATACATTGAGCTGGATTAAAAATATGAAAGTGTGCTCACCAAGGACCTTATGTATTTGAGAAAACACTGGCCTAGTGCAAAGCAGAGGACAAAAAGCTTGGTACTGTGTCTTCTCAGTGGCACTGTTGCAAGTTTTGACCAAGTTTCTCCTTACTAAAATGGGTGTGTTTTCTTTTGTTATATGCCTTTTACCTCAGTAACTCATAGTTTAATGAGCATTCTCAAATCTCAAACATGAGTGTGAGAAGAGTGGTGTTTTGTTTTTTAGAAACCTATATGCTGAATACACAAATATTTATGAATATACAAGAAATATGTCAGTAAAACTTTCTGAATCAACCAGTTTGTTGATCAGAATTGTCTAATCCTTTTTATTGAATTTAACCTCTATCTAAATAATAACCATTTTCATTGTTTGTGAAATAAAACAGAAGTCTCACATTATTCCTTTATATCATAAAACCCCTGTAGAATTGCTCTTTCTGAGTAAATAAAGCGAAAATACATCCTATTTCATAATTTCTAGAAATGGAAAAAAGAAACCTGCAGTTGAGAGATGTGAGATTTGGGTTTTCATTTATCCCCACTAACAACTTTGGACAAGTTACTTCACCGTACCTTTGTCGCCTGTAAATTGGGTATATTGATATAGGAGTAGATCTCTCCTATCTGAGGCAGCCGGGTTACTTACTTTAAAACATTAGTTAAGGGCCAGGCGCAGTGGCCCACACCTGTAATCCCAATACTTTGGGAGGCCGAAGTGGGCAGATCATTTGAGGTCAGGAGTTCGAGACCAGCCTGGCCAACATGGTGAAACCTCATCTCTACTAAAAATACAAAAATTACCCGGGTGTGGTGGCGGGTGCCTGTAATCCCAGCTGCTCGGGAGGCTGAGGCAGGAGAATCTCTTGAACCTGGGAGGCGGAGACTGTATCATGAGCTGAAATCATGCCATTGCACTTCAGCCTGAGCGACAAAGCAAGGCTGTGTCTCAAAAAAAAAACAAAAAAACAACACTGGTTAAAGGGAAAAAAAATCGGAAAGGTGATGTCAATCTCCAGTGTTTTGTTTTAAAGCATAAATATACATTCAGTCACTCATCTTGTGAAATTTTCAAATTGTCATCTTTGAATATGAGTTCACCCACTGCTGTTCAGTATGACTACATCCACGATTTGTCCATTATGACTTCTGGTTCGGTTTCTTCCGAGTGAGATGCTTGGGAAACAGTCTACACCTCAACTATTTAGATTGCTGTGATTTTCCCCACCAGTCTTTTTCAGTTGGTTTGGCACACCTTATTAAGGAGCACCGTTTTTAGTAGATCAACTCACAGTATTCAACTTCTAGTTTTCAGACAAACAAAACTCTGTCTACACATACTTCAAAAGTTTGCAACATAAATTATGACTATGATGAATTTAACTGGCATAAGTGGGTTTGGGAACAAATGGGGCTGTTTTAAATAATGCCTTTTTTTTCTAGTAGCTCGTAGTTTAATCAGCATTCTCAAATTTGAGACATGAGGGAGTATGAGAAGAGTGGTGTTTTGTTTTTTAGAAATCTGTATGCTGAATACACAAATATTTATGAATATCCAAGAAATACGTCAGTAAAACTTTCCGAATCAACCAGTTTGATTCAGAAAATCAGTGATCTCAAGAAATTTAGCCACTTAGAACAGTACACATTTATGATCTCACAGTTTTTGTGGGTCAGGAATCTGGGTGTGGCCTAGCTGTGTCCTCTGCTTCAGTCTCTCAGAGCCACAGTGTGGGTATCAGCAGGGGCTGCAGTCCCATCTGAAGGCTTGCCTGGGGGAAGATGTTTCCCAGCGTGTTCACGTGGCTCTTGACAGGGTTGAGTTTCTTGCAAGTTGTTGGACTGAGCTTCTTAGTTCCTTGCTGGCCGCTGGCCTGAGGCTGCCCTCTGCTCCTTGCCAGGTGCTTCACTTCATTGGGGCAGGTGCACAAGAGAGCCAGGGAATTTCCTGCATGACAAGCCACTGTCTTTTATAACCTAACCGCAAAAGGGACATTCCATCACCTTTGCCATATTCTGTTCATTAGACGCACGTCACTAGGTCCATGCAGGGAGATGACACACAGTGTGGCCACTAGGAGAGCAGGAGATCTGGGAGCCGGCTCCAAGCTGCCTGCCACACAGTCCTAGTTCTTTCAGCTGTTTCTCACGTGACAGGGTACTGTATTTTTGCCCAAGTGGCGACACTTTTAAAGATAGGCAAATACAGCATGCGGAGGAAACCGTGGTTCTGTAATGCAACCGCAGGTCCTTAGGACACCCATATCCCATTTGTTGACCCACAGCGAGCTTGTAGGGGGGTTAAATTTCATTTTTGTTTTTATCAAATGACAGCACACATCGTTTAAAATAGCACAGTGTGTAATTCATTCAACAAGCTAACTTATTCTGAAGCTTGTGATGCAATCATGAACAAAGCAGACAAATCCCTGCCCTTGCGGACCTATTATTTCTGGTGTGGGAGACAAACAGTAAAACGACACACATGCGAGATAGGATGTCTGTGACCATGCTGCCAAGAAAAATAAAGTACGGAAGGGGTAAGAAATGGAAAGGAAATTTGTCATTTAGGGTAAACAGAAGAGGTGTAAGAAGTGACATTTGAGGCTGGGTGTGGTGGCTCACGCCTGTAATCCCAGCACTTTGGGAGGCCGAGGCAGGCGGATCACGAGGTCAGAAGTTTGCGGCTTGAGAGTCACTGGGGCCGAGTAAAGATGGCCACCCATCAGAGGATGTTGAACCAGGCACCGTCCATCTGCTGCAGCAGAGTCCTCTGGTTGCTGTGCTGAGCAGGGGTGGCGGGGAAGGGTTGGGGCTGTGGAACTGATGCAGGCAGACTTGGGCCAGGAATTCACACCTCAGCGGCAGCAGTGGAGGGGAGTGAGAAGCCGTCAGATTCTAGGTAGGATTTGAAAGTAGAGCCAGTGATGTGCTGGCAGATGTTTGCATGGGTTTTTTGGGGGAGGGTGGAAAATGATTTGTGGCCATTTGCCAGCAGTCAGTGGTATAAATAATCCTGCTGTGGCAGATTTCAAGTGATCATTATGACATCTCAGATCCCCTTCCCGGTGAGAGCCACCTCCATCCTAGAGTCATCGGCTCATTGATCTGATTGAAAGCCAAGAGATACTGGCATCACCCAGAGAATGTATGTACCTAGGAAAGAACACAGGAGCAGGCTGAATGTACTAGGGCACTCTAGGAAAAGCTGTTCAAGTTGTAATGTAAACAGTTGGTTCTTTGCTGAATGAGTTGGGTGATTAAAATTTGCATTTATGTGGTTTCTCAGCCCAGTGGTAGGCTTTCCGTTTGAATGCCTTACCTGTTTCACTTTGAATATCCTCAGTCAGGGTTGCTGAGTGTCAGATGTATGCACATGTGAATGGATTGCTAGGAAAAAACAGGAGTTCTTTGTGTTCATTTTATGTTATGTTAAAATGGTGAGTCTGTGACATTTTACATTTTTCCAGCTGGCAACATAACATACATTTAAAAACTTCAACATTAAAATGGATGTCTAATTTATACTTTTTGTTTTATAGTTTTGAAGTGATTAAAGTTATCCATGGCAAATTGTTGGATATGGTGGGGAAAGTACAGTAAGTAGTACCATTTTATCTGCTTGTTAGAGAAACTTCTTTTAATAGTATCTTCTGAGCAATACAATCTGGCACTTACTGGTTTGTCTTTTTTTTCTTACAAATAGAATACCTATTATGTTGGTTGGGAATAAGAAAGACCTGCATATGGAAAGGTATGTAGCTTTTATAAAGTCAAATCTAAGATGATTTAGTCACTGAAGTATCATTTTAATTATTGTTCTGATGTCAAGAATATTTTTAGCTGTAGCATTTTTATCCGTTCAGAGGTGTTATGGTCGTGTGCAGCAGAAGCAAAAGTGGAATAGAAATCTCACATTCCTCTAGAAAAGAGAGAGCAAACTTTATAGGAAACTACCTTTAGGTTATCTGCCACTTTGCATAAAGCAAATTCTAAAAAGACATAGTGCTCATTTATGCAGCAAGTGGTTTTTGAGTACCAGGGTTTGGGATTACAGTGAGGAGCAAAGGAGGCAGATGTCCCCTGCCCAGGCAGCTTCATGTCAGAGAGGAAGAGACTCTACAGCCTGCATGCAAGAGAATTGAGCTTTCAGGCTCTTTCACAATTTCCCCTGGCCTTGGGTGCTTACAACCTAGCTGTAAAATAGTCAATTGTTACAGATACGGGAGTACTGGAAAATAAGATCATGTTCTCTGAGCTGGAAGGTTTGCTGGAGCATGGATAATCCCATAAAGCAATGTCTATTCTGTTCCCCAGCTCAGGCGTAATTAAAACACTCCTGTGTTACATTCTTGATGCTAATGTTAGGCCAGGGCATGGTTCTGCTTCATGAGAAAGAAATTGACCAAAATGGAGCCTGTTTCATAAATCAATTATACATGTTTTATATAATGAAGAGCAAAGTACTTTAACTAGAATTTTATTTTTTCTTTAGGGTGATCAGTTATGAAGAAGGGAAAGCTTTGGCAGAATCTTGGAATGCAGCTTTTTTGGAATCTTCTGCTAAAGAAAATCAGGTAACAGATTCTATAAACCTCATTTTGCATTGCGTTCTCATCAGTCGCAGGGATGTGTTCCTTGCAGTTGGCATTTGACCTCTGTCTTGATCACTCCTGTGTAACATCTGGCCTTCCTCCATTTCTAATACCAAGTTTTGTGTTGCTTTAGGAAGATACTACTTAGGTGTTTATAAATTCAGTCAGTATTCTACTTACAGTGGAACCTAGGATATTTGTAGGATAAACAGAAACTATTAGTAAAGGAAATACTACCTTTTGTAAACATATATTTTTGGTTTGTATTAATAGCTGGTACAGAAATAAGTCCATACAGGGGAAAAAAAAAGAATTATATCACTTTAGTACTAATTTTGTAACTACCCACCCCCTGGCTTTTTTTCTGTTAGATGAAACCGGGTCAGACGTACGTGTTAATTGTTAACATAGAAATGATGAAGAACCATCTTATAAGCATTTAGTACCAATTTCACCCCGCAGATGTGCCTTCAAAGGCATGTTCTGGGAAGGATGTAGATTCTGCCTCCGGAGGCTTCACAGTCCTGTATGAGCCCTTCTCTTCCATTGCTCTAATTTAGACCCCCGGCACCAAGCTTGTCTCCCGCCCCCAGTGCATTTTTCACCTATACATTTTTTTTGCTGCCCTTAATTTTCTAAAGATACACATCTGATGGTATCATCCTCTACTCAGAAACTGTCAGTGAACTGCCCCTTCTCTATAGAACCCTTCGCCTGGTCCTGAATGCAGTCAATAATTTGTTCTTTTCTAGTTTCTTCTCTCACCACGTTCTTGTACTTTCCATCACATCAAACTGCTCCCTTCCTTAAACACACCATCTCCTGTCCACCCCACTTTCAAAATGTCTCACCTTTCCTCATGCTCCCCTCCGGTTTAAAATAGCCCTTCTCTAAGTATCTACTTAGGTTCATGTGGGGTTTTATATTTTGAATGTGTTTTCAACATGTGGTGGTGTTTGATCCTCAGGTAAGATGACTTGGTTTTCATTTCTCTGAGGAAACTCTAGTATAGTAGGGTGGTGCCTCCTCCCTGGGAGGGCCGGGCGCCAGCAGCCTTGGCACTCTTCCTTCCCTGCCCCGCCCCTCTCCGCAGCACGGAGGTTTGTAGTCCTCAAGGCCCCACCTAGATTTCACCTTCTTGTTGACCCCCTCTGGATCCATCCAGCTGAAAGAAATTGTGGTTTCTTCTCTTAGCCCTCTTAATTTGTTCTGAGATCTGAGTCAGTATCATTTATATAAATATCCTTCATAATGTTTAGCACAGTGGGTTATCCGTCAGCCCAAGTATCCTGTGATAGTCAAATTGGCTTTGTCCTGTGTTGGGATATGGAGGGATAGTGAATCCATGTGGTTATGTCCTCTTATGTGCGGATGAAAAAAACTGATTAAACAGATGTGTGTAATTCGTTCCCAAGTTCCAGATAGCAAGGGATTTATCGAAGTCAGCTCAGTTTCTGAGTATACACAGAATTCAAATAAGAATTGAGATAGTTAAGAGATACCTATATTTTAAAAATTGAATTAAATCCATTGAGTGCCTATGGACTGTATCCTTCAGATCATGTAGTTAAACCGCCTCATTTTAGAAGTGAGGAAATTAAGTTTCAGAGAAGTTAAATGACTTTTCTAAGATCACCCACTACCTTACGTGGTATAAGAACTAGGACTGAATTGTAGATCTCATCCACATCTAGTCCTTTTTTCTCTACACACTGCTTCCTGTCAATCAGGTGATCTGAAGCCGGTGACCTAGATTAGACAAGCGGGGTGGGACCTGGGGTTGGCTTCAGTTAACTAGGAGGACAGACGCCTCATTCATACCAACAGGACAGAAGGCTGAGGATGGGAGCCCACATTCAAGTGGGTGGGTCAGCTTGGTGGATGGAGGATGTGGAGTTCTTTCATGAATGTGGCTTCTGTTTTCCAGTGAAGTGTGTAAAACAAGGTTTTCAGCTGAGCGTAAGCACGGGGAACATTTGAGGAGAAGGGACAAGGCGTGGATGCTTTCTCTGGGGAGTGCCCAGATCCAGGGATGCAGGCGGGTGGCTAGGCAGCACCAAGTGTCTGCGCCAGGTTCCTGGTCATGGGTGTGAGGTCAGCAGTGAGCGGTGTGTGTTTTCCCTGGGCAGCGTTTACGGTGTGGCCGCGGGCACCGTGCCAGCGACAGTTGGTAGGGAAGGGAGTTGAAGTACAGTGGCGCCATGGTGGCCTGCTGAGTCTGAGCTGACCGAGAGGGAAAGGAGCAGCAAGAAGTGGTTAAGGGACAGGGGAGATGTAATAATAGGGTCAACAAATCAGGCCCCTTGTGGGGCTGAGAATTGTTGCTTCAGGATAGCTAGAGAAAGAGCTGGGAAGGTGGTGTGGTGGGACGCTGGCAGTTGGTGTGTTCTGGTTTCGTGGGATAGTGGAAGTCACTGGAGTGATGGGGGAGGGGGATTCTTGGTGATTAGGAGAACAGGGTACTTCCTGTGGGGCTTCTGAGAACAGGGGCAGTTTTTCATGACCACAGGACTGCATTTCAAGGACAGGGTCTGGGAGTCACGGTGGCTCAGGCCTGTTGTCCTGGTGCATAAGGAGGCGAGGCTAGGCTTTCGAGGCCAGCCTGGGCAACATAGAAACCTCCAATCTGTATAACAAAAAAGGAAAAATAAAGGACAGGGTCTGACAGTTCTCCTCCCCACTCAGTGTAGGAAGAGTTCCTGCTCCAAGTGGCCATGATTCCTGTCTGTGGTGAAGGACTGGTGGGGTTGACCCTGGGCTGAGGCTGAGGGCAGGAAGACGGGCAGGAGAGGAGAGGCCAGGAGATAGGGAGGGCAGTTTGTGGATTGAAATGACCGAGAATTACGCCACAGAGGTGTTGGAGGCTGGCATCGTGGCATCTCAGGAGCACGGAGGGTGCCTTCCCCACTTCAGGCCTCTTAGTGTCAAGGATGTGAGAGGCAAGGGCTGCTGGGAGAGTATGTCCCGTAGGAAAGGAGGAAAGATAGTGCCAGAAGTGAAGAGGGACCCTGAGGTCAGAGGACACTGGGGTGGGGGTCATGGGGTGGAGTGGGACAGGAGATGGTGGTGAGTCTGGGAGTGAGGACTCTTCGGGCGTCTCCTGGTGCCTGAAGGAAACAGGGTCAAAAGCACAATCGGAGGCTGGTTATGGTCTGGGTCAGGAGGGGTGGACAGTGGCCTTACTGGGCGTCGGGGGGCCCTGAAGTTCTGGGGCTCACCAGAACCCCTCCTCCTCCACCAGTAGGAGGGCAGGGCAGGCGGCACGCCCTCCTCAGTCCGTAAAATACTCTCGGAGTTCGGCTTCACACTAACACTGTGATTGGGTTTCTTTCTCTTTTCAGACTGCTGTGGATGTTTTTCGAAGGATAATTTTGGAGGCAGAAAAAATGGACGGGGCAGCTTCACAAGGCAAGTCTTCATGCTCGGTGATGTGATTCTGCTGCAAAGCCTGAGGACACTGGGAATATATTCTACCTGAAGAAGCAAACTGCCCGTTCTCCTTGAAGATAAACTATGCTTCTTTTTTCTTCTGTTAACCTGAAAGATATCATTTGGGTCAGAGCTCCCCTCCCTTCAGATTATGTTAACTCTGAGTCTGTCCAAATGAGTTCACTTCCATTTTCAAATTTTAAGCAATCATATTTTCAATTTATATATTGTATTTCTTAATATTATGACCAAGAATTTTATCGGCATTAATTTTTCAGTGTAGTTTGTTGTTTAAAATAATGTAATCATCAAAATGATGCATATTGTTACACTACTATTAACTAGGCTTCAGTATATCAGTGTTTATTTCATTGTGTTAAATGTATACTTGTAAATAAAATAGCTGCAAACCTCAGTCCTTTGTGCTACTTGATGTGGCTTTCAAAGAAGAGAAGCCTTGTCCTGAGTTTCTCACTTGGCTTCAGGAAGGCCCCAGGTTGGATTCCAGAAACCAGTGAAGATGTGGCCACAGGAGGAGGTGTGCTGAGGTGGCTGCTGACCGTGGACTCCCTGCGCAGTGGCCTGCAGATGTTGGGGCTGGGTTACAGCTGATTGAAGCTGAGTGGCCCTGGGGGGTCTGTGAGGGGAGTTCCTCCCCAGTGATGAAATTCTCTCCTTCCACCCTCAAATCCCTAGACCTTGACTGAAATGCTCCGTGGTCGGGAGCCTGGTCAAGGAGGAGGAGCTGCTGAGAGGCATTGTTCGCCCTTGCTCATAGCTTAGCTCGATGTCCGTGTCAGACAGGAGATGATTGAGAACAGCCTTGCCTGTCACTGTCCTAGAACACCCTGGAGTTTAGTGTTCTGTGTCAGAGTCTTGGGAGCCTCCTTCAGACCCAGATGACGGGCCTCCCTCTGTCCAAGGAGCAGCTGTAAAGGAGAAGAGGGATTTCATTTGTTTGGTGGCTGTTACCTTGTCTGTAAGTCAAACTTGGAGTTGAGCAGTGCTTTTTAAACGATTCCCTTTTGCAGCTAAAATTTCACAGGGCTATTTCTAATACGTAAGCAAATGTTACCATTGACTTTATTAATAAAATATAGTTTTGCTTTGCAGTTGATTGTTAATGAAAAATTATGTTCTTAAAACACATGCCATTAATTTGGATCTTTTAAATATTTTTGCCTCATTTGTCATTCCAGGATGAAATTTCTGCTTTAGAAGACTTCCACCAAATACATTTTTAAAGACAGGGTCTCACTCTGTCACCCAGACTAGAGTGCAGATCATAGCTCACTGCAGCCTCAAACTCTTGGGCTCATGCTCAAGTGATCTTCCTGAGTAGCTAGGATTACAGGCCTAAGCCACTATGCCTGGCCAAATAATCACCTTTTAAATTTTGACAACACAGTATTGTTACTTATTACCAGGGTTATTCTTAGGACTAAAAATGTAAGAGCACTGAACAGAAAATGGGGACCTAGTCCATCCAGTTATGTCTATGTAAATGGAACTTAGAACAGCATATTGTACTAGAAACTCAAGTTCAACTGAACTCTCCTGAGGTGGTCCTTTAAGGACTGGACCTCCTGAGTGGAGGGAGCATAGTATCATTTCTTTATGTGACGCAGTGCACACATTCCTTCAGATATGCCCTGGGGACCTGCCATGTGCCAGACACTTCTCTGAGTGCCATGAACACAGCAGAGAAACCTGCACCCCTGTGTGCCGTCAATCCTGCGCTGAACCTTGGAGATGCCACACAGGGTAGGCCCCCGTCCAGCTGCCCAAGGCAGCAATCCCAAGAAGACAGTTGACTCGTTTACTTGATTGAGCATTCGTGGTTTTGTTTTTTTGTTTTGGTTTGGTTTTTCTGACACAGAGTTTCGCTCTTGTTGCCCAGGCTGGAGCACAATGGCACAATCTCAGCTCGCTGCAACCTCTGCCTCCCAGGTTCAAGCAATTCTGTCTCAGCCTCCCAAGTAGCTGGGATCACAGGCGCATGCCACCACACCCGACTTATTTTTGTATTTTTAGTAGAGACGGGGTTTCATAATATTGGTCAGGCTGGTCTTGAACTGACCTCAGGTGGTCCGCCCACCTCGGCCTCCTAGAGTGCTAGGATTACAGGCCTGAGCCACTGCGCCTGGCAGAGCATTAGTCTTATAATCAGTGATAAAACATTGTCACTGGGCATGATGCATGTGCCTGTAGTCCTGGCTACTCAGGAGGCTGAGGTGGGAGATTGCTGGAGCCCAGGCGTTCTGGGCTGTAGTATGCCGTGCTAATCCTGTGTGTACACTGAGTTCGGCATCAATACGGTGACCTGGGAGCTAGGGACCGCCAGGTTGCCTGCGGAAGGGTGAAGCCATCCAACCTGGAAACAGCGCTCAGAACTCCTGAGCTGATTAGTAGTGGGAGTGTGCCTGTAAGTAGCCACTGCCCTCCAGCTAGCAACATAGCCAGACCTGTCTCTTAAAAAAAAAAAAAAAAATTGTGTTGAAAAGGTAATGCTTTTCTTTGTGGTACGTAAGTGTAGTCTTAGATTTATTGAAATACAGGAAGTGCAACTATAAAACTATATCCAAAATATTTTGCAGTTCAAAATTAAATTTTAAAATACAAATTATAAAATCACATTACAAATTAAAATTAGTGTGATAGAATTTTGTTAAAACTAAATTGTCCATCCACTCTGGACATCTCTCCCCACTGGTTCACCAGCCATGCTCTTGCCTGAATGGCTTCTCACCTGCTTGTCACCAAATCTAGTAGTTTCCGGTTGCTTTCTTGACCTCTCGGTAGCATTCCACACAGTTCACCGCCGTCTCCCCTGCGTCATCATTACCCCACCATCTCCTGGTCAGCCTGCCAGCTCTGCTGGTGCATTGGTCTCCTTGGCTGTTCTGTATCAAACCTCTCAGCAGACCTTTTTTCCTGCCTACACCCTCTGCCTTGATACTCTTCAAGCATAGCTGTAACTCTGTGTAACCAGAAGAGTCCAAAATGTCTATCTCCCACCTTGACCTCTTTGGGCTCCAGGCTGATCTTGACAGACTCTCTACTTGGGTGTTTTATAGGCATCTCAAGTTTACTATGTCCAAAACTGAATTCTTGATTTTCCTTGGAAACCTGGTCCTCTCTTGGACTTCCTGTTTCAGGAAATGACACCATTATTCACTGGGTCCGTATGAAAATTAGCAATTTGGGAGCTGTTCTTTATCCCTACCCTCATACTTCCCATCCGATCCATCAACAAATCCTAAGGGCCTTGCCTTCAAAAATCTACCTTGTGTTTTGTCCATTTTTGTCTCCACTGCATCCTGGTCTGCAATGGGACACCCTCTGAGCCCCTACACCTCAGCCAAAGCCAGCTTGTAAAAACAGTATCATGTTGCTCCTTTGCTTAAAATCCCTCCGTGATGATTGTGCCAAATCCGTGTGTCCCAGCCTCAAGGCTCAGAGTGACCTTGCTGCTGCTTAGCTCAACCCTGTCTAGTTAGTGGCCTTGATCAGTTTCCAGAGCCAGAAAGCTCTCTTAGCCATGGGGGCTTCTGGGGCTCTTTCCTTTGCCTGGGACACCCCTTCCCGAGACTTCTAACCCTTCAGATCTCAACATTGTCTCTTCCCAGGGGCTTCTAGGATGGCCTGAAGCACCCCTCTCTGTGAATCTATCCAAGCACTCATGTTTTATCATATGGTACAGCATGTGTCATAACTGATCATCACTTTTGTTCCTTGTATTGTGTATGTTGTGTATTACTCGACTAGATTTGGCTGGAGTGGAGACAGTGTCTCAGACATCTTTGATTCCAAGCTCCTCCTAGCACAGAGCCTATAAAATAGATACTTTCTACTGTGCCATTTTAATTTCCTTGTAGTTTGTGTGTGTGTGTGTGTGTGTGTGTGTGTGTGTGTATTTTAAGTTATTAGCAGTTGCCCTGGGAATTACAGTTAACATCTTACTTTATTATAACACTCTAGTTAAGATTCATACCAACTTAATTTCAATAGCATACAAAAGCTTGGCTCCAGTTCCTCTCTCATTTGTGCTGCTATTGTCATGCAAATGACATTTCTATATATTATATGCCCATCAGCACAGGCTTACAATTGGCTTATGAAGTTGCCTTTTAAATCAAATAGAGAAAAGAAGTTACAATTAAAAAATACATTGATGTTGTCTTTTCTACATGCTTATGTGGTTGCCTTTACAGGTGCCCATTATTACTCCTCATTAGGATTCAAGTTACTGTCTAGTGTCCTTTTCTTTCAGCCTGAAGGGCTCCTTTGGTATATCTTCTAGAGCAGGTCTGCCAGCAATGGGTTATCATGGGTTTTGTTTATCTGGGAATGTCTTCTTTATTTTTCAAGGATAGTCTTGTTGGGTATAAAAGTTGGGGGGAGAGTTTTGCTGTCAGCACTTCTACTTACCCAACTTATTCAGGTATTTCATGAGCAGCACTCAGCCTGGAGCCTGCAGGCTCTTGTGTAACCCCAGAAACATAATGGCTTCCCAGGCCCCCTGTGGGCATCTCATTTTCCAGTTTCTGTTAGCTTGTTGTTTGCCCCAGTGTCAACTAAATTGCTGCTGATTGTTTTGATAAACGTCCCCAGGGAGAAAGTGCTGGGTGAGCCTAGCTCAGAGTCAGGTCACAGGCTAGCTTGCAGGTGGAACCACCAGACCAGGCAAATGAGGTCACTGAGCTCCAACCCCAACTTGACCCTTCCTGTGGCTGCTAAGCTGCTGAGTTTTATGGGGATTGCTGCTGTTGCTTTCAAGGCTACCAGGGAGCTCAGGGGCAGAGGTTTGGAGGGCTGTGAATAGGGCCAGTAAAAATGCCACAATGCTCACTGCTCTGAGGTTCAGCCAATTTCCTTCAACACTCCCTGGATTGTTATGAGCCTTTGGTTAATTTCCGGAGCTCTGGAAACGTTTATTTTTTTGGACAGTTTTTGCCAGTGTTCTCATTAGGTTCCTGGGGTCCTTACTGCACAGTTCCTGATGGTGTGGCTGCTGAATGAATGAGCAGAGGCGCCTTTGTAGGGCACCACCTTCTGGACAGGTTCTTTTGAATTTAGCCTGCACCTGTTGCTGTGTGATTAAAATTCCCCACCATGTATACAGTGCATTGTGCTGCCATTTGACCTGTCGTTATTGAGTCCACCTGACACCAGCTCCCAACAAAGAAGGGCTGCTCCTGCTCAGTGCCCTCTGCCATTGTTAATACAAACAGACTGAGATTGCAGCTGTACCCAGAGGTCTGAAAGTCACTCAGATGCCCCAGAATGTGCTGCTGCCTCATAGCAATGCTTGTAGAGGTCTGGGCTCTCAGGGGAATATCTGTAGTGCCTGCAGGCTGCTGCCCCAGTCTAAGAGGTGTGCACACTGCTGCCTTGCCCCTGTGCCAGAGCCTCCTCAGCAGAGCCTGAGGTTCCAGGAGGTGTGTGTGCTCGCAGAAGCCTCTGGATGCTGTGGTTACTCCGGTTGCCCACACTGCCTAGCAATCCTTGAACCAGGATGCCTTCAAAGCATTCCTTGGGAGATTCCAGAACCATTCCACCTCGTTACCCTCCCCCAAGAAGGGGATGTTTTATATAAAGAAAAAAAACAATTTTTGTGTTGCCCATCCTCCCTACCTCAATGACTTCCTAGAGGGCAACAGAATGGCCAGGTGAGAGCTGCTGTGGGGTTAGAACTGGAAAGAATCAGATCTAATTTAACATCCTTGTTTTCAGATCATGGAACCCGAGGTCCAGAGAGGTCAAGGGGCAGCTACTTGATCCCCCACTTAGTCTGTGTTTCCACCACACCACATTGGGACATAGCCCATGAGCCTGTCCACAGGGAACCCCAGTCAGAGCTTCATCCCCAGTCAGGGACAAAGACTTGGAACATTCCGGTCCTGGCCCCCTCTACAGCTAATAAAAACCTTTGGGCAACTCCTTTATATTTTGTGATCTTCTTTTATTTTAAAACTTCCCTTCACCAGGGATCGTTGTCACAGCCAAAAGTATGAAAACCCTGGATGTTTCCAAAGTGCTATAGAAGCACCAAGCCACAGTCCTGAGGACGGGTGTGCTAACCTCAGACTGCCAGCTGGAGCTCTCACCTGGTGTCAGGGTCCCCGTGAGTTTCTGCAGCTTCACGAGTGCCCATGATTGTGTATCTCCAGCAGCAGTCGGTGCTGTGGGTGGCTCCGGAATCCTGCAGTGCTGCCATCTTATTCCTGGGCTACACATCCAAAGCAATACGGAACACCACGACTTACCCCAGCAAACGAGTTTACCAAATCCGAGAAAAAATATTTCATTCCAGTCTGGCCCAAGGCATCAAGAACAGTATGATCTACTAAGAACTACCAACACAGTGATCCGAGGATTGCAGGCCCGCCCTCGTTCTCATGTCCAGCATGCTGAAGGTTGCCTGTGCGGTGTCACTATTGGTCCCCAGAGCTCAGTCCCACACCTGCCCAGCCAGACCCTGTGGCAGCGCAGCAGATTGTGTCCTGGCCAGGGAGGCTGCTGACCTGCCCAGTCAGCTTCTGAGCGGTGGGACCTCAGCTCCTCATCTGCAAAGGAGAGAGTCGCCTGGGAGATGACTCTGAAGGTCCCCCCGGGTCCCACATCTGCCACAATCTAGGAAACAGTCTTGGATTCGTAGTTTCACAAGAAATAGCACAGGATTCGGGAAATATTGTGGCCTCAGCAGCCAAGACCTTTCACCCAGTTCCTCCTACTGCCCAAGAAAGCCCCGGGCAGAGCTGTGCCTCCTGATTTATTCCCTACAAGAACACAACAGCCAGCTGGCAGGCTCCTGCGAGGAGAGAGCCTCTGCCTGCACCGCGTGGCTGCCGCCTGGCGTTCTGTATATCCCTCCACTCCCCTCCTGCTCCCATCATCATCAGATCAGCAAGGAATTCAAGTACATCAGCACAGGACTCTGTGGCTGCCTTACGGGGCGCGGTTGACGAGGGTGATATGTGCTGAACTTTACCCTAAAAGGCTCAAGCAGGAGGACAGCAGGGAGTTACAACTGGAGCAGCGGAAGGTCACATTCCTTAGCTCTGACGTCGGGATTTTTATTATCCCATAACAGAAATCGTTCCAAGGCGCAACCTTTTCTGTGTCTGGGGCATTGTTGTAAAGTTGTAGAATGACAGTAACAGCTCTAAGCCAGCGCAGCCGCCTGGCTCGGCAGTTACCACATATTGGCTTGTATCAGAGTGACCTGGATGGCTCGCTGACACAGGCTGGCTTCCCCCGCACAGTCCCTGATTGCAGAGGCCCCGTCAGGTGCAGGACATCTGCATGTCTTCCAAGTTCCAGGGACGCTGCTGCTGCTGCTGCTGCGAGCTCAGGGGCTGCATTTTGAGAAGCACTGGCTTGGACAATAATGGCACAGGGCTCTTATTGTCCAGATTAGGAGGGAGCACGGGCCGGAGTGACAGGACTGTGGGACCGCAGAGGTGGCCAGGCCACTCACCACCCCCTGGGGACTTGGACTGAGGGGGGCTGTGGGTTGAGTTGCCTCCCGGCAAAAGGCATGTTGAAGTCTTCATTCCCAGTACCTGTGAATGTGACTCTATTTGGAAATAGGGTCATTACCAACGAACAAAGTTAAAGTGAGCACATACTGGATTAGAGCAGACCCTAAACCAATGGCTGGTGTCCTTAGAACAGTGGTCCCCAACCTTTTTGGCACCAGGGACCAGTTTCATGGAAGACAATTTTTCCACGGACTGGAGTTGAGGGGATGGTTTCAGGATGAAACTGTTCCATCTTAGATCATGAGGCATTAGTTAGAGTCTCATCAGGAGCATGCAACCTAGGTCCCTCGCACGCACAGTTCATAATAGGGTTCGTACTCCCATGAGAATCTGAAGCCACCGCTGCTCTGACAGGAGGCAGAGCTCAGCTGGTAATGCTTGCTCGCCCCCTGCTCACCTCCTGCTGTATGGCCCAGTTCCTAACAAGCCACAGACCAGACCAGTCCATGGCCTGGGGGTTGGGATCCCTGCCTTATAAGAAAAATAAATTTGGGGCCGGGCACGGTGGCTCACGCCTGTAATCCCAGCACTTTGGGAGGCCGAGGCGGGCGGATCATGAGGTCAGGAGATCGAGACCATCCTTGCTAACACGGTGAAACCCCGTCTCTACTAAAAATACAAAAAAATTAGCCGGGCGTGGTGGCGGGTGCCTGTAGTCCCAGCTACTCGGGAGGCTGAGGCAGGAGAATGGTGTGAACCCGGGAGGTGGAGCTTGCAGTGAGCCGAGATGGCACCACTGCACTCCAGCCCAGGCAACAGAGTGAGACTCTGTCTCAAAAAAAAAAAAGGAAAAAAAAATGTAGACACAGAGAGGCAGAGACTGGTATACCAAGGACTGCCAGCACTTCCAGGAGCCAGGAGAGGCCTGGAGCAGATTCCCCTCTGAGCCTCCAAGAAGAAACCAACCCCCCAACACCTTGGTTTCAGACTTCCGGCCCCCAGAACAAGAGAATACGTTGCTATTGTTGTAAGCCACCCAGTCTGGGTTACTTTGTTATGGCAGCCCCAGGAGGCAAACAAAAACAGAGGGCTCCTTCAATGTGTGGCTTGCAGTTGTTTCTTGTTTTTGTGTGTGTGTGAGAGAGACAGAGTTTCGCTCTTGTCGCCTGGGCTGGAGTGCAATGGCGTAATCTCAGCTCACTGCAACCTCTGCCTCCTGGGTTCAAGCGATTCTCCTGCCTCAGCCTCCTGAGTAGCTGGGATTACAGGTGCCCACCACCACGCCCAGCTAATTTTTTTGTATTTTTAGTAGAGACGGGGTTTCACCATGTTGGCCAGGCTGGTCTTGAACTCCTGACCTCAGGTGATCCCCCGACTTTGGCTTCCCAAGGTGCTGGGATTACAGGCGTGAGCCACCACGCCCAGCTGTGGCTTGCAATTTTAAGACCAAGAGAGCCCCTGGCAAACTGGGGCAAGAAAGGATAAGGAGCCCAAATGACAGCTAGCCAGAACTTTCATGTCTACAAAGGAGAAAAGTGATGCTCAAAGTTGTGATCTGCCAAGAGTCGCCAGTGATATAGTTTGGATGTGTGTTCCCTCCGAATCACATGCTGAAATGTGATCCCCAAGGTTAGAGGTGGGGCCTGGTAGGAAGTGTTTGGGTCATGGAGGTGGATTCCTTGTGAATGGTTTGATGCTGTTCTCATGTTAATGAGTGAGTTCTCGCTCTGAGTTCATGCAAGACCTGGTTATTAAAAAGAGTCGGGGTTCCCCTCCCAATTCCACCTCTCTTGCTCCCTCTCGCCACATATGCTGGCTCCCCTTCACCTTCTGCCATGATTGGAAGCTTCCTGAAGCCCTCACCAGAAGCAAATGCCAACACTATGCTTCGTGTACAGCCTTCCGAACTGTGAGCCAAATAAACCTCTTTTCTTTGTAAATTACCCAGGCTCAGGTATTCCTTTACAGCAACGCAAATTGACTAATACACAAAATTGGTACTGAGGAGTAGGGTGTTGCTATAAAGATAGATACCTGAAGGTGTGGAAGTGGCTTTGGAGCTAAGTAATGGGAAGAGGTAGAAGAGTTTGAAGATGCTCAGAAGAAGACAGGAAGACAAGGGGAAAGTTTGGAACTTCTTAGAAACTTGTTAACTGGTTGTGACCAAAATGCTGATAGAAATATAGACAGTGAAGTCCAGGATGATGAGGTCTCAGGTGGAAATGAGGAACTTATTGGGAACTGGGGCCAAGATCACCCTTTACACCTCAGCAAAGAGCTGGGCTGCATTGTGTCCAAGTCCTGGGAATCTGTGGAAGTTTGAACTTAAGAGTGATGACCTAGGGTATCTGGTGGAAGAAATTTCTAAGCAGCAAAGCATTCAAGATGTGGTGTGGTTGCATCTACCAGCCTACGTTCAGATACAGGAAAAAGGAAATGACTTAAAATTAACACTTACATTTAAAAGGGAAGCAGAGTGTAAAAATTTGGAAAATTTGCAGCCTAACCTTGTGGTAGGGAAGGAAAAGCGTTTTCAGGAGAGGAACTGAAGGGAGCTGAAGCAGCCACTTCCTAGAGATTTGCATGACTAAAAGGGAGCCAAGCGCTAATGGCCAAGACAATGGGAAAGGGCCTCAAAGCCGTTTCAGAAGTCTTCAGGATAGCCCCTCCCATCACAGTCCCAGAGGCCTAGAAGGAAAGAAAGGTTTTGTGGGCCAGGCCCAGGGCCTCTGCTACCCTGCTCAGCCTCAGAACAGTGTTCCCCACATCCCTGGCACCCCAGCTCCAGCTTTGGCTCAAAGGGCCCCAGGTACAGCTCAGGCCACCACTTCGGAGGGCACAAGTTGTAAGCCTTGGCGGTTTCCTTGTGGTATTAAGACTGCAGGTGCACAGAGTGCAAAAGTGAAGGAGGCTTGGCAGCTTCCACCTATATTTCCACCCAGAGTCCCTGCAGAGAGATTACTAGGGCAATGCTGAGCAGAAATGTAAGATGGACCCTCCACGTAGAGTCCCCACTGGGGTACTGCCTAGTGGACCTGTGGAAATGAGGCCACCACCCTCCAGACCCTAGGATGGTAGAGCCACCAGCAGCTTGCCTAGAGGAGTTACAGGCACTCAAGTCCAACCTGGAGAGCAGCCATGGGGGATGCAACCTGCAAAGTCTCAGGGGCAGAGCTGCTCAGGGCCGTGGGAGCCCACCCCTCACACCAGTGTGCCCAGGATGCAGGACATGCAGTCAGGGAGATGATGTTGGAGCGTTGAGGTTTCATGTCTATCCTGCTAGGTTTCGGACTGCGCAGGGCCTGTCCCCCATTTCTTTTGGCCAGTTTCTCCCTTTTGGAAAGGGAATCATTACTCAATGCCTGTACCACCATTGTATCTGGGAAGTAAATTGTTTTTTATTTTACAGGCTTATAGATGGAAGGAATTTGCTTTGAGTCTCTGATGCGACTTTGGACTTGGGACTTTTAAGTTAATGCTAGAAAAAGTCACGACTTCAGAGGACCAGGGAGAAGGGATGGTTGTATTTTGCAATGTGCGAAAAACATGAGATTTGGGGGGTCAGGGGTGGAATGATATGGTTTGAATGTGTGTCCTCTCCAAATCTCATGCTGAAATGTGATCCCCAGTGTTGGAGGTGGGGCCTGGTGGAAGGTGTTTTGGTCATGGGGGTGGATCCCTCATGAGTGGTTTGGTGCCTTCCTCACAGTAATGAGTGAGTTCTCATTCTGAGTTCACACGTGATCCGGTTGTTAAAATGAGTCAGGGACCTCCCCGTCTGTCTTGCTCCCACTTGCCGTGGGGTACACTGACTGCCCTTCATCTTGCACCATGATTGGGAGCTTCCTGAGGCCCTCACCAGAGGCAGATGCCAATGCTATGCTTCTTGTACAGCCTGAACCAAATAAACCATGAAGCAAATAAAGCTCTTTTCTTTATAAATGACCCGGTCTCAGGTATTCCTTTACAGCACTGCCAACGGACGAACTCAGCCAGAAAATCCATGTTATAACCAAGACGAGAACCCACGTTTTCTAACAGCTGTCCAGGGTCCCAGTTGATTCACACACATGCGTGGATCCATGTATATACGCATGTATGCACATGTCAGCAGCCCTGAGATGGCCACCTGGGGGAAGGTGTTGCTTAGTGTCGATTGAGATTCAGCAGTTCTGGGGTAGAGCCCTAGACTTGGCACTTCTGATGAGTTCAAGGTGACCTTGGTGCTGCTAGACTGGGGGCCACACTTGAGCCCCTCGTGAAGATGCAGCACCTGCTTTCAGAAACGCTTAGCCCTCCCAGGGGCCTCGCGGTTCACGGTGAAGGGAGACCTGAAAGTGCAGGCTCCCAGGAAAGGGGAGGGGCCTGGCACTGCGGGGTGCCCGCTCTGCCCGCCGCTTCTTCATGGCTTTGCAGGGAAGGTGGCAAGAGACAGCGCACAGCACGTGTCTGACATCACCCAGCAGCGCAATGACAGCCAGGTCCTTGGAACCCCAAGCCGGGCATGCAGGCTCCATAACCCCTGGAACTAGAGTCCTTGTGGGATGTGAGGCCTTGCTGTCATGTTTTTTTCTGTTTCCACAGATCCTGGTTTTGAGGGGCAATTGGACAGCGTCTTCCTCACATGCAGGCCCTTGGGCTCCAGGGCTAGAGCCCCCTTTCCTGCCACCTGTCACCTGATGGTGGCTGGCCCACAGCTCCTTGTGGGACTTCCTGAGGGTGCCCGCAGCTCCCCTGCGGGCTCAGGACACAGACGCTCTGTCCAGTCTTTCTCCTCTGTCTTCTGCTACATCCTGCTTGGATTTGAGGAGTGCTGTGGTCTGAACATACCCCCTAAAATTTAGATATTGAAACTTAATCACCAGTGTGATACTAGGAAGAGGAGAGGCCTTTCCAAGGGGGAGGAAGTCTGAGGGTGAAGCCTCACGGATGGGCTCTGGGCCCTTATCAAAGGGCTTGAGGTAGTGGGTCCACTCTCTTATGCCGCGTGAAGACAGACTGTGCCATTGGTGAGAAACAGGCCCTCACCAGCCCCTGCCCCTGCGAGCACCATAACCTGGACTTCCCAGACTCCAGAACTGTGAGAACATGAGTTTCTTCTCCTTCTAAATTACCCAGTCTCAGGAATTTTGTTACAGCAGTGCAAGTGAACCGAGACGAGGAGGAAGGCCTGGGAAAGCCGCTGTCTTCCACATTCCACGCGTGGAGCTCCTGCCGCAGGCCGGTTTTAATTAAAAAACAAAAACAAGGCTGGGCACGGTGGCTCACACGTGTAATCCCAGCACTTTGGGAGCCTGAGGAGGGCGGATCACTTGAGGTCAGGAGTTCGAGACCAGCCTGGCCAAAATGGTGAAACCCCATCTCTACTAAAAATACAAAAAATTAGCCGGACATGGTGGCTCATGCCTGTAATCCCAGCTACTCGGGAGGCTGAGGCAGGAGAACTGCTTGAACCCGCGAGGCAGAGGTTGCAGTGAGCTGAGACAGCACCACTGTGCTCCAGCCTGGGCAACAGAGTGAGACTCAGTCTTGAAAAAATACATAAATAAAAAAACAAAAGCAAAAACTTTGAGAGGCCGAGGCAGAGGATTGCTTGATGCCGAGAGTTAGAGATCAACCTGGAAAACATAACAAGACTCAGGCTCTACAAAAACGTGTAAAAATTAGCCAGGCATGGTAGCATGTGCCTGTGGTCCTAGTTACTTGGGAGGCTGAGGCAGGAGGATCACTTGAGCCCAGGAGTTTAAGGCTGCAGTGAGCTATGATAGCACCACTGCACTCCAGCCTGGGTGACAAAGCGAGACCCTGTCTCAAAAAAAGTTAAAATAATAAAAAATAAAAACCCTCTCTTGATGTGAACCCCACAAACGTCTCATCTCATCCTGCATGTGGTGCTGCGGTGAAAGCCACATCCCTGCTGATAGGAGCTCCTCTCCTCTCTCCTCCTCCTGCCTTTGCTCTGCCACTGGCCCAGTGTTCAGACTCGTCCTGAGCCACTCGGACTCCACCGGGACCAAATGGTGATGCAAAGGCGCAGTGGCCTAGGTCAGGAGGCAGGCTCCCATGTTGTGCTTTGCCACCCCGCCCCTGGCTGGTGTGGGACCACGTGCTGTGTGGCCTGCCCCCCGCTGCAGGCAATCAGACCAGGAGTGAGCTGGGCAGGGACCCCACTTGGCCCCAAGTGAACTGTCCGGGGCTCCCTTGTTCAGAGCCATGGACCCAGAGATCCTGAAGGAATGAGGCTCTAGCCCGGAGGGCTGTAACGTGAGAAGCAAGCGAGGCTGTGTGCACCAGAGTCCTGAGGTTGGAAGACTGAGCATGAGGACACACGCTGCTGCAGCCTGGGACCACAGCTGAGGGGACTGTAGCGTCTGCAGTGGGGCACTGAGGGGGTCACCGTGGACCCCAGCTGCCGCAGCCCCTGGAGCTCCCTGCTTGGTCAGTACCCTAGGGCCTGGCTGTGCACAGTCCCTGCTCTTGGAGTCAGTCCTGCCTTACGCCCAGGAAAGAAGCCTGCGCCTCAGGGACCAGCACTCCCACCCTCACCCCCCAGAACCTTGGAATGCCTTCCTTAATATTCAAAAATGTCTAAGTCTCTCCCTGGTTGCTGGGACTAGCCAAGGCTGGTGGTGCCATCAGGTGGGGGCCCTGAGCTAAGCTGGGCCCCTTTGGGGCATTCTCCAACCCTCCACACACCCCCAATGAGTGGGGTGTGTTCATGATGCAGATGAGAAAGCACGGCGAGAGGGCGTCGCTGCAGATGAAGCAGGCTCGCACGGTTCCAGTTTACCCCGTGGATGTCTTTATGCCAATGCGTTTGACATTTTAGATGGAATAATCAGTAGACTAGAAGAGCATAAATTACCGATATTGACTCAGGAAAAAAATAGAACACCTGGCTAGAACTAGACCTGTTACAGAAATGGAACCTGGAAGTCAAAAATCTAACCCTAGAATGGCATCAGGCTGGGACCGTCCAGAATTTTTAAGGAACAAACTCTTCCCAGAGAGTAGAAAGTGACAGTCCCTGTCATCTTTTATGAAGCTAGCAGAACCTGCATCCACCACCCAGAGAGGAGCCACAGGCGCTGACCTCCTGCCTGGGGAAGGGACAAGTGGGAGCAAAGAATCAAACCCAGGTGACTGCATGACTTCCCACACCTAGCGGGCGACGGGAGGTGACAAAGAGCAGAAGACACACAGCAGCTGCCAGGCTGCCCCCATCATCAGGAAAAGCAAAGAGAGGCAAAGTCGTGCAGTTGTTCCCTCAGGCCCTGGCAGGCACAAAGCTGCTCCTCCCACCCTCCCGCTCCCTGTCTCCCAGGGCCACTGGCTGCTCCTGAGTCCACTCCAGCCCTCCCAGGAGCCCAGCCTGAGGGTGCCCAGGGCGACTCCGGGGTTCCCTGCCACTGCGGCCAGCTGTCCTGTCTGCCGGTGCCGGGCCGCCTGAGCTGTGGGCTCTCAGGAGCACCCCACGCTCACCTGGTGACCAGTCCCTCTGCTCCTCTGGGAGGAGCTTGCTCATCTGTGAAATGGGTTAACCGCACAGAACCCTGCCAAGATGGTGGGCTTGTTGTGAGCTTCAAAGTGGAGACTAATTAAACAGTGAGAATTCATTAAACACCAAAAGATCAAAACGCGATGCCATGGCCCCCACACCCACTTTGCTGTTGACCCTCATGGTGGGTCTGTGTGGAGGGATTTCACGTGCACCTTTCCCAGATCAGGCCACGGAGACACAGGGCCAGGAGCCCTGGTGGGGACAGTGTGACTTCGGGTGGTGCCCCTGCCTCACAGCAGGGACTTGTGGCACCTCAGGATGATGGACAGCCCTGCTCCAGGGGGACAGCGGCACTGGGACCACACGGGGACAGAGGCAGGGGACGCAGCACAGAGCCCCCCTCCCTGGGCTGGATCAGGCAGGCCCTTCCTACCCTGTGAGGCCAGGGCCTCCCTCCCCTTGGTGACATACATCTTTCCCAACTAACCAGAGCGGGGACAGGCTTACTGCCCGGGATGGCACTCAGGCTGGAGTGCAGTGGCATGATCTCTGCTCACTGCAACTTCTACTTCCTGGGTTCGAGTGATCCTCCTGCCTCAGCCTCCTGAGTAGCTGGGATTACAGGCGCCCGCTACCACACCCAGCTGACTTTTGTATTTTTCGTAGAGATGGGGTTTCACCATGTTGGCTCTGTTGTGCAGCCCCCACTTTGCCCATCCTTTCATCTGGTGGCCAGGAACCTTCCAGAGCCTCAGGAAGGGAGCAGAAGCAGAGGCGAGTTGAGGGCTGGTGGTGGAGAGCACTGGCTGTCTCCCTGCTGAGGCCCAGCTGGTGCTGAGAAGAGCCCTGGCTTGGGGCCCCTGGCTCAGAAGCTTCACTCCTGCTCCCTGTGGTCAGCAGAATAGTGACCCCCAAAGATGTCCACGTCTTAATCCCTGGAACCTGTGACTGTGGCAGAAGAGACTTTACAATCATTTCAAACAAGCAAAGACTGAGAGTGTTTACCACACAGAGGCTACTACTAAATGAGTAACTGAAAGACATACTTCAACATGAAGAGGAGAGAAACCCAGGTGGAGGGTACAGGATCTCAGAGACAATAGTGCAGTTAGTGATAAGATGTATTGGTAAGTTTATTAACTAGTTACAGTCTTTCAAATGTGTTCTTGCAAAAAGGAAAATTAAAACTATGGATTGTAATATCAACTTGGCGGGAGAGAGCTCTTCTTTGCTTCAAGAGTAAAAGAAATATCGGAGAACTATACTTTCTTTTTTTTTTTTTTTAGATGGAGTCTATCTCTGGGATTTCAGCTGTGAGTCCCTGCGCCTGGCTTTCTTGTCCTTTTTAGATGACCGCTTTGCTTATCTCTCTGAACACCCCAAATTCTTGTCTTAAAGTCTTGTCAGATTGTGCTATAAATGTGTTCACTTTTTTTTTTGACGGAGTCTCACTCTGTCGCCCAGGCTAGAGTGCAGTGGCACAATCTTGGCTCACTGCAACCTCTGCCTCCCGGGTTCAAGCGATTCTTCTGCCTCAGTCTCCCAAGTAGCTGGGATTACAAGCGCACGCCACCACACCCGACTAATTTTTTATACTTTTTGGTAGAGACAGGGTTTCCCCATGTTGGCCAGGCTGGTCTCGAACTCCTGACCTCAGGTGATCTGCCTGCCTCAGCCTCCCAAAGTTCTGAGATTACTGTATTCAATCATTTTAAGTGTAAACTTTGATGAGTTTTGACAAACGTATCCACCTGTGTGCCTACCACCACAATCAAAATATAGAACTTTCTATCACCCCAAAAAATTCCCTTGTGCTGTGTCTGAAAATCACCATCTCTGCCACCACCAGCTTTGGACCAGGAGGCCGCTGGTGTGCTGTCTGGCACCAAAGAGCCCTGTATCTTGTCCAGAGTCTCATACACACAGAGCCACCCAGCGTGCAGGCTTCTGCGTCTGGCTTCCTAGGCTCAGCGGATGTTTCTGGGATTTATTCATGCCATTGCGTGTATCGAGGGTTTGTTCCTTTTTACTGCTGAGTGGCATTCAGTTGTATGGATGAACTACGATGTAGTTATCATTCGACCATTGGTGGATGCCTGGACTGCGTCCAGGCTGGGGTTGTGATGAATAAAGCTGCTATAACATGTGCAAAGCTGGGGGTCTATGTTTTTACTTCTGTTAGGTAAACACCAAGAGTGGAATTGTCAGTTAACATGGTAAGCGTATCTTGACTTTATAAAAAACTAAAGTAACTGTACCATTTCACACACCCCCCAGCAGTGAGTGAGAGTCCCACTTGCTCAGCACCCTCAGCGACACTTGTGATGTCTCATTGTGCTTTTAATTTGCACTTTGATGGGTAGCTTTTAAAGGATGAGCATATTTTCAGCCTTTGAGTCATTCGATCAGGATGTGTTGATGACTTAGGTGAGGAAGAAGGAAGTGAAGTGAGATCTAAAATAAGAACATGAGGCCAGGCACGGTGGCTCACACCTGTAATCCCAGCACTTTGGGAGGCTGAGGGGGGGCGAATCACGATGTCAGGTGTTCGAGACCAGCCTGGGCAACATGGTGAAACCCCGTCCCTACTAATAACACAAAAATTAGCCGGGTGTGGTGGCTCACACCTGTAGTCCTAGCTACTCGGGAGCCTGAGGCAGGAGAATTGCTTGAACCCAGGAGGCAGTGAGCTGAAATCGCGCCACTGCACTCCAGCCTGGGCAACAGAGTGAGACTCTGTTTCAAATAAAATAAAATAAAGTAAGAATATGAATAGATAAAGCTGGTGTGCTTTTAGAACTGCACAAAGGTGAGGAAACGTGTGCGTTATAATTCTCTGTAGAGGTTAAGGGCACCAATTCTGGATTCGAATCCCAGCTTCACTGCCTGCTTGCTGTGTGACCCTGTGACCTTGTGCAAGCTACTCATGCAGGCTGGGCCTCACTCCCCACAACTCTAAGATGGGGATCATGACAGAACCCACCTCCTAGGATTGTTGAGAGAATTAAATGACTTAATATATGTTAAGCTTTAGTTGGTGCTGGCTATAAGTAAGCACTATGAGAATTCGAATTTATTATAATTCTAAGCAGATGTGGTGGCACCCGCCTGTAGTCCCGACTACTCGGGAGGCTGAGGCAGGAGGATCGCTTCAGTCCAGAAATTCAAGACCAGCCTGGGCAACATAGGGAGAGCCCATCTCTAAACAAATATAACGGCAATAATAATTCTAATTCTAAATCCTCCCGCGGCCGCCCTGGGGCGTGTGGTGATTGTGCCCACCACGAGGGGTCAGGCTTCAGCAACTTTCATTTACCCGAACCTCGCTGGCTTTCAGGGTGGGAGACCCGGGGACTGTCTTCTGGGGCGCAGACGTCCCGCCTTTCCTTCCCCGCCCGAATCCGATGACCCCCGGAGCACTGCAGCCCCCTCCCTGACGCCGGCTGGAAACGGGGCGCAGCCAGGGGGCCCGGGCTGGCGGGGCGACCCCTGCAGAGGCCCAGGCCCAGCTCACTTGCAGACGGGCTCACTTGCAGACGGGCTCACTCGCAGACGGGCTCCCTCGGAAGGGCAGGGACTCAGCCTAACCGGGCTCTTTACACCCCCTTCCTTGCTGCCTGCCGGCGGCCACGACGCCAGGGCACAAGCTGGGTCCCCAGCAGGGGGCGAGGCTCCTGGAACCGCCCCGCACCCCCGCCGAGCTCCGCTGGGGCCCTCGGCCGGCGCTGCAGCCTGGCGGTGCTGGCCTTCGCGCATTTATTCCCTTACTCATTCACGCACTCATCAGTGTCCTCCGGGGCTGACCCGGCGCAGGAGGCGGAGAGAGGAACCCGCAGCCCGGTGCGGAAGCGCGGAGCCCAGGCGGGAGCTGCAGGCCTGGCGACCACGAACTGCGCTTCGCTAGCGGAGCGTTGGGCAGAGCGGGCATCGCTGCCCCATGCAGCCCTGGACCGCGGACGGAGTCTAGTCTCCCCGCTCTCGCCCACGCCTGAGCTTTGGTATGCAAAGTGTTTCCAACTTTTTGTTCGTTTATAAATATCTTTAATAAATATATATATTGAGACGGAGTCTCGCTTTGTCGTCGCCCAGGCTGGAGTGCAGTGGCGCGATCTGCAACCTCCGCAGCTCACTGCAACCTCTGCCTCCCGGGTTCAAGCGATTCTCCTGCCTCAGCCTTCCGAGTAGCTGCCACTACAGGTGACTGCCCCCACGCCCAGCTAATTTTTGTATTTTTAGTAGAGACGGGGTTTCATCATGTTGGCCAGGCTGGTTTCAAACTCCTGACCTCAGGTGATCCGCCCGCCTCGGCCTCTCAAAGTGCTGGGATTACAGGCGTGAGCCACCTCACCCGGTCTCTCTCTCTCTCATGTATATGTATGTGTGTGTGTATATATATATATATATAATTTAAGTAGAGACAAGGTCTTACCGTGTTTCCCAAGCTGGTCTCGAACTCCTGGGCTCAAGCAATCCTCCTGCCTCGGCCTCCCAAAGTGCTAGGATTACAGGTGTGAGCCAGCGCGCCCAGCCCGTTTGTAAACATCTTTTGAGCGCCTCCTCCTTGGTGTCCACAGCTCTAGCGCTGAGCGCCTCGCCCACACAGATGCGATGGTACCCGCTGGCGAGAGAGGTTGGGGAGTGGGGCTGGGGGGAGGCGCGGGCAGCGAGACCAGGTCCTTGAGCCCTGGGAAGCTCAGCTCAGGTGTTGGGACCGCACCCCAGGATGGGTGCAACATCTCAGGAGGCCTGATCTCAGGGTCCTGCGTGTCCTGGTCCCTGCTTCACTTGAAGGGCCATGGGAAGCCATTGAGCAATTTTAGGTAGGATCACATTATAGGTTTTAAGTGAGTATTCACATTAGAGCACCTAGGAGCCCCCCATTTGTAATGTCTTGTCTTTTTTTTTTTTTTTTTTTTTTTTTTTTTTTTGAGACAGGATCTTTCTCTGTTGCCCAGGCTGTACTGCAGTGGTGCAATCTTGGCTCACTGCGGCCTCGACCTCCTGGGCTCAAGCAATCATCCCACCTCAGCCTCCCTAGTAGCTGGGACCACAGGCATGTGCCACCATGCCCGGCTAATTTTTTAATTTTTTTGTAGAGACAGGATCTTGCGTTGTTGCCCAGGCTGATTTCAAACTCCTGGGCTCAAGCAATCTTTCCTCCTTGGCCTCCCAAAGCACTGGGATTACAGGCATGAACCACCTTGCCTGGCCTGTAATGTCTTATTTCTTAAACTGGAAGGTAGATTTGCTGCCTGAAATGACTCATAATATATATATAGGGAAAGGAGCCGCTCTTGCTGTGGGTGGAGAACGGTCTGGAGGAGCCCAGAGCAGACAGACTGGGATGCTGAGAGGCTCCTGCAGCAGTTCCACTGGTACTGACAGTGGCTGGAGCTGGGAGTGGGCATGGAGAAGGAAGTGGGGAAGGGGGCAGAACCTGGGGGTCTCACACAGTGGTGTCACATACAGCCTCAATTTGGAGGGGAGTCCTGAGTCCTGTCTCTCAAACGCTACCCA
Source organism: Homo sapiens (assembly GCF_000001405.40). Classification (NCBI taxonomy): domain Eukaryota; kingdom Metazoa; phylum Chordata; class Mammalia; order Primates; family Hominidae; genus Homo; species Homo sapiens. The sequence goes on along the minus strand of NC_000007.14, from coordinate 151,446,618 downwards.
GGATGGCCTCTCCCAAGCCCCAGGACCACTCTGCTCCCAAGAGCATTAGGATGACGCTGGAGGCAGGGGGCTACTGGGAAAGTGCCTCCCCTCAGCCTGTCACACACACCCAGAGCTCCAGAGTGAAGGGCTGGAAGGGCCTCATTGCCCACTCACATGACTTTGTATTGAATTAGGGCAGGTTTGGGAGTAGCAACAAACTGGGAAAAGTCTAAAATGAACCCACACAACAAGGAATAGACAACAGCAAAGGAACAGATAGCGGACTCACACACACACACACAGCAAAAGAATAGATAGCAAGTTAAAACACACACAGCCAGGCATGGTGCCTCATGCCTGTAATCCCAGCACTTTAGGAGGCCAAGGCAGGAGGATCCCTTGAGGCCAGGAACTCGGGACCAGCATGGGCAACATAGTGAGACCCCGTCTCTACAAAAAATTTTAAAAACCTAGCTGGGTGTGGGCGTGTGCCTTTAGTCCCAGCTACAAGGGAGGCTGAAGCAGGAGGATGCCTTAGCCCAGTTGTTTGGGGCTGCATTGAGCTATGATCGTGGCACTGCACTCTGGCCTGGGTGACAGAGTGAAACTCTGTCTCTAAAACAAAGAAACACTTGCACACACACAGGCACACACACATAATCAATAAGGAAAGACAGAAAAAAATGAGCAAAGCATATGAACAAGCAATTTACAAAAGATCCAATTCAAATGAACGCTATACATTTGAACTGATGTTGAGCAACTGGCCTTGGAACTACCAAGGGTAGATCTCATCTGTATGTCAGTGGGGCAATTTGGAAGACCTCTGTGGCATCTAGTGGCTTGAAGGTGAACTCATGCTTCAACCCAGCAATTTCACCCAGAGGCATGGGCCTCAAAGGAGGCAGTATTGGTCCCAGGGTGTGGTTGGAATTTTGTAGGGTGTTTCTGTTTGTCAGAATGCTGGAGGATGGGTGGGCAGGCCCCAGGATGCTGGATATCCCACCACATCCAAGGAGACACTGTCCCACAATTTCCCCTAGAAACGCATAGTATTTTTTGTGTGGCTTTAATATATACTGAAGATTTCCTGGTATGCAATTTATTAGATATATAAATGGAAGATTTTACTTAGTTTTCTGAGGAATTCTACTGAGCTTTGTTCATTCACCATTTCAGAAACTCTTGTCACTAAAACAAAAAACCAAATTGCAGAAGGCTACATATAATGTAGCCACACTAAAAATTTTCTATTATTTACAGATACATACAAAGAAAGTAAAAAGATGAAAACACACAAAGACATAACACAAAAATCAGGACAGTATCTTATCCTTATGGGGAAGGAAGCCTTCAATTCTATGTATAATGATTTCTTATTTTAAGGAAAAACATTGATCCGACATAAACCTGGCAAAATGCTAAGATTTGACAAACTTTGTATGGTGGTGTTATTGTTCCTTATATTATTTCCTATTCTTCTCTGTGCTCTAAATTACCCAAAAACGGGAGAGACAAGAGGCAGAGAAGGGAGGCAGGCAAACGGGTGATGGCTCAGGGTGATTTATTATTAAAACCATTAGCCTCCACGCTGTAAAACTCTCCAATGCTGAGCAGCTACTGGTAGTTCTAAGGCTACATGTTATTGAGATTTTATTTTTTAAGCCATGATAGCATTCTTAGCCTTGCTTCTTCTGTGCTGTCACGATATTTATTCTCAGTCCATTTCCTTAGAATTTTGTCCCCAACTAGCAGCTGTATAGTGACTCAAGATCTCACCTACCTCAAGGTACATTTTAACAGTGCTCTACCAAAGATGACTCAAAAAAATGACTCTGATGTTGAGGTTTGGTGATACTGGCATTTGCATATTATGTAGCTATTTTGGGGAGGGGTTCTACCTGGCCACAAATAGATAATATGAATCTTAGCAGACTCCTCCTCTGGTAACTGAATTATAATAAAATCCCAGGTGGGAATTGAGATATTGCATTAGAAATAGGGAATGGAGGTGAAATTTGCAGGTATCTTATTCATCTACCCATTTTTAATAATTCTTTGCGTGGGGCTTTCAGCTAGGCATTTTTTCATATATATTTCTCAGAAAACACCCCAAATCACTGCTTCTGTTTTGGATTCTGTTGTCATCACCTTTTTGGGTTGTCTGTGTGCTCTGGCCCTGCTGTGATGAGGGCAAATACAAATTAAAAAGAAGAAGTTCAGCTGGGCACAGTGGCTCACACCTGTAATCCCAGCACTTTGGGAGGCCAAGGCAGGCGGATCACTTGAGGTCAGGCATTCAAGACCAGCCTGGCCAACGTGGTGAAGCCCCATCTCTACTAAAAATACAAAAATTGGCCAGGCGCGGTGGCTCACGCCTGTAATCCTAGCACTTTGGGAGGCCAAGGCAGGCGGATTGCCTGAGCTCAGGAGTTTGATATCAGCCTGGGCAACATGGTGAAACCCCATCTCTACTAAAATACAAAAAACTAGCCAGGCTTGGCGGCGTGTGCCTGTAGTCCCAGCTACTCGGGAGGCTGAAGCAGGAGAATCGCTTGAACCCAGGAGGTGGATGTTGCAGTGAGTTGAGATCACGCCACTGCACTCCAGCCTGGGCAACAGAACAAGACTCCATCTCCAAAAAAAAAAAAAAAAAAAAAAAAAAATTAGCTGGGCGTGGTGGCACACACCTGTAGTCCCAGCTACTGGGGAGGCTGAGGCAGGAGAATTGCTTGAACCTAGGAGGCAGAGATTGCAGTGAGCTGAGATCGCATCACTGCACTCCTGCCTGGGGGACAGAGCAAGACTCCATCTCAAAAAAAAAAAAAAAAAAAAGCTCTTAAAACAACAATGAGACACCACTGCACACTTATTTGAATGGCTAAAATCCAAAACTTGATAGCACCAAATGGTCAGAATGAAAAATCATATAGCCACTTTGAAAGAGAGTTTGACAGTTTCTTTTTATTTGATTTGATTTTGAATTTTTTAGAGACAGGGTCTTGCTATGTTGTCCAAGCTGGTCTTGAACTCCCGGCCTCAAGTAATCCTCCTGCCTTAGCCTCCTGAGTAGCTGGGATTACAGGTACAAGCCTCTGCACCTGGCTTTTATTTTTTTTTCAGTTTGTTGCACAACTAAACATACCTGTAACATATGATCCAGCAATCCCACTCCTTAGTGTATAGTGAAAGGAGCACACAAAAATCTACACGTGGTTGTTTATAGAAGCTTTCCTCATAATTGCCAAAACTTGGACACAACCAAAATGTCCTTCCATTGATGAATAGATAACTAAACTGTGGTACTTCCAGACAAGGGAACATGATTCAGCAGTAAAAAGAAATGAGAGACTAGGCCAGGAAAAGATATGAGGGAATCTTAAATGCATATTACTAAGTGGAAGAAACCAATCTGAGAAAGCTACTTGCTGTCTTAGTCCGTTTTGTGCCGCTATAACAGAATACCACAGACTGGGTAATTTACAATGAACACAAATGTACTGGCTCACAGTTCTGGAGGCTGAGAAGTCTAACATCACGGTGCTGGCATCTTTCAAGGGCCTTCTTGCTGTATCATCCCATGGGAGAAGGGCAAAGAGAGGGTGAGAGAGAGCAAGCGGTTGACCTTGTAGCCCTTTATGGTCAGCGTTAATCCATGAATGAGGGTGAAGCCCTCATGACCTAAACCCTTCCCATGAGACCGCATCTTTCAACATTGTTGCATTGGGGATTAAGTTTCCAACACATGTGTTTTGGGGGACACGTTCAAACCGTAGTAGCTACATACTGTAAGATTCCAAATACATGACATCCTGAAAAAGGCAAAACCGTGAAGATAGTAAAAAGATCAGTGGTTGCCAGGAGTTAAGGGGGAGAGAGGGATAAACAGATGGAGCCCAGGGGACTTTTTTTTTTATCTTTTTTTTTTTTTTTTTGAGACGGAGTTTAACTCTGTCGTCCAGGCTGGAGTGCAGTGGCGCAATCTTGGCTCACTACAACCTCCACCTTCCAGGTTCAAGCAATTCTCACTGCCTCAGCCTCCTGAGTAGCTAGGATTACAGGCGCCTGCCACCACGCCTGGCTAGTTTTTGTATTTTTAGTAGAGACAGGGTTTCGCCCTGTTGGCCAGGCTGGTCTCAAACTCCTGACCTTAGGTGATCCACCCGCCCCGGCCTCCCAAAGTGCTGGGATTACAGGTGTGAGCCGCCGTGCCCAGCCCACACAGGGGACTTTTAAGGTGGTGAGAATACTCTACCTGGTGCTCTAATGGTGGAACCATGGCATTACACTGTAGAGGCAGCAAAGTTCTACCTCCATCCTCTTAGGGTCCTGGCTGGGCCTGAGAAATAAATTGACCTAAGACAGATTAACAAGAGAAAAGCATACAAACTTATTTAATACAAGTTTTATGTGGCATGGGAGCCCTTATAAGGAGATGAAGACCCAAAGAAAAAGTTAAGAGTCAAACACTTACATACTCAACTGGACAAAGAGTAGCAAGCTGTGAAAAATCAACCACATTATGTGGGGAGGCTTTAAAAATGTGTTATTTTAACAAAGTCTACGCCGCATTCTCTCAACTTCTCATCCTGTATCCCGATGTATAACATAGGTTCATCGGCTGTGACAAATGTACCACTCTAATGGGGGCGCTGATTGTGGAGGAGGCTCTGTGTGTGTGTGTGTGTGTGTGTGTGTGTGTGTGTGTGTGTGTGTAGGGGCAGGGGGTATACAGGAAATTGCTGTACCTTTTGCTGAATTCAACTTGAACCTAAAGCTGCTCTAAAAAATAAAACCTTTTTTTAAGGCTTATTTTTCCCTGTTGAAAATAAGGGAAGAGGCTTCCCTTTCCTCCCTTTTCTTGCAGAATTTCCTTCTCTGTCATTTTCAAATGTGTGTAAATCTTTTTAATGGCTAAACAAGCCTCTTGCCAGTCTAACAACTCAGTCATGTTTCCTCTGGGAGCCTCTTTGAGTCTTGACATCAAGGAGTAAGTGCCCCCACCCTCCCCGTTTCCTAAGAAGCCTGACTTCAGCTGTCACCTGACTCCAAATTGCAAAACCCACCTCCAGTCATAGAGATACAAGAAAATCAGCAATTTTATCCTGAAAACATGAATGCAGTGGGTTGTGTCTGCTTGGCTACAGAAGAGTGAGATCTCTCTCCATCTTTGCGATCTCTTAGGGGAGAGATCGTGATGCAGATCGCATTCCAGTTTAAAGTTTATTCAATAATAAAATTGTTTTTTTTTCCTTCTACCTTCGTGGAGAAGTTTTCTGGGTTGGCTGGAGATTTTGTTTTTAATTTTATGTCCCCACCAGGGCCCAGGTCCAGAGAGAAACATTGGAATGTGTGGCTTGGCAAGTAAGGGCGCCAGTGGAGGCAGCTGGGCGGCGTCCCTAGGGAGGGGCGTCCCTAGGGAGGACCGTCCCTGGGTTCAAGGGTGACATGCAGGTTCTGGTTTGTACCCTGTCTACTTTTGAAAACCTCCCACAGCAGAGGCAAGGTCACCCCTCTGCCCCAAGAATCACATAACCTCCTCTTCCTGGGCCTCAGTGTCTCATCTGTGAAATGGTCATAAAAATATACTGTTTGAAGGAAGAGCAGCCCAAACTCCTCCCCAAAGCTCCTCCCTCCCCTCCAGCAGAAGCCCCTGTGGAGCACCTGCCCCTCTCTCCTTTGATCTCAGAGCCTGTCCCCCACCACCCCAGCCATCTGAGTCATGAGTCCTGTGTTCCCAGCTCATCTCCCCAGCCGTGTGGGGGCTGCACATCCTGTGGGCTCCATGTTCGCTCTGCTCACTCCACAATCTCTGAGCCTCTGCTGTCTGCCAAGTGCTCGTTCTGGGCCCTGGGGAACTCTCCCTCCGCGGTGGGGCTGCTTTGTGCTGTAAACTGATCCTGGGCGTCCAGGGTGGCTTAGTTGGTGCAGCAGAGAGGCAAGGGGCAGAGCACTGTACCCCCAGCTCAGGGCAGCGCGGGTCACCTGGTCACCCTAGGCAGGATCTTCAAGGAGAGAGGGACCCAGGGAGGGAGAGTGCCAGGGAGGGAGGCAGGCAGGAAGAGAGCGGGAGGAGGGAGGCCTGACCTGGCCTGGCGTTTTGTGGGGTGTGGGGGGGTGCATCAGGAGCTGGGTGAGTTGGAGCCGGAGGTCTAAGGTGGGGACCTGGGAGCTCAGACCAGAGCAGCCAGGGGAGGGGCGGTCAAGGGCTGTCTGTCTGTCCGGGGAAGCTTGGGTTGCATCCTCGTGGAGACAAACAAGTTGGCACCAAGGCGAGACTACCTGCAGCCAGGTGAGAAAGGGGAGTGGGCTGGGGAGCTCGGAACAGGCCTTGGGAGGGAGGGAGATGGGCGTGAGGGCTGAGGGGCAGCGCAGGGGAAGAAAGGTTGGAGGGCTAGAGAGACACCTCCCCTCCTCCCCCCACCACTCCAGGGCAGGGCAGGGGCAGCCGCGGGCTGGGCGGGAGGGCTCAGGGAGGAAGGAGGCTCGGGAGCTAAACGCGGAGAGCACAGGGAGACCCCGGGCAGGGCGGGCTGCACTCGCGGTGGCACAGGGTGGCCGCGGCGGGTCCCAACCGCCTGGTGGCCCCTCGGGCTTAGCACGCCCGACAGCACTAACGCTCCGGGGCCGGCCCAGCAAATCTTTTGTCCGGGGCGGCGCTGAGCCAGCAGGGCGCTGCCCGGTGTAAACGGGGACCCGCGGAAGGGGCGGGGCGCACCATGGCGCAGCGCTCGGGGAAGGTGAGTGCGTCCCTCAACCCCAAGGAAACCGAGTGGGGCTCCGCCTTCGCCCCCTGTGCTAGGGGATGCAGGAGGGTGCACACTGTTGATGGTGACAAATCCAAGGGAAGCTGGTTTAATTTCTTAATAAAATGGGGTGGCCTCGCTACTGGCCTGGGGCCTCTCTGGTGTGGATGGATAGGAAGGTCTCCATCTCCACTCCTTCCTTCTGGGATTCCAACCCCTCGCCCTGCAGTCAGGAGCAGGGAGGGTGTTCAGACTCCCTGGGGCTTCCTTGGGGTGGGGGAGGCTTGGCTTGTCCCACAGCCCTCCGCCCCACTGCTGCGGCTTCTTTGCCCAAGGCTGGCCTCTATGGCTTTTCCTTCCCAGGGTCTCTTCAGGGACACTTAGGGCTGGTTCTCTGAAAAATGTTGAGATTTGAGGGAGCCCCGAATCCCTTTGGTGCCCAGACCTCCCTGAAGGTTTCAGGGGCCCTCTACCAGCCGTGCCTGGTGCAGGAAGGACGGGAGACCTGGCTCTCCCTCGCCCTCTCCAGTGCCCCTAGCCTAGCCACTCCCATGAAGCCTTTGGTCTCCAAGGCCACATTCCAGAGTGTCTGGGGGTGACTGTGTTGCTGTATCAGTCTGCATGGGCCAGGTGATGCTTCAGTAACAAAGGGCCCCAGTAACTCTGGGGTGCAGAACGCCAAGGTGTCTGCCTCCTTTCCGGTGAACGCATGTGGCCACGCCTGACTCCAAGGGGCCTGGAAGGGCAATTCTCGTGTTCTTTTGAGCGAACTGGAGACACTGGTGAGGCACAAGCGACCATAGTGATGGGGAACATCACTGCACTCTGGCAGGACCCTTCTAGGGCCACAGTTCTTGAAACCCAAAGAGTTACTAAATGGTTGAGATTTTAGGTTCCACAGCAGGAAATGAGTCTGGCGGGTTGTTATTGCTTCACTTTGTTTTGTTTCGGGACAAGGACAACCTGTGAGTGCCACGTAGCTATAAGACACGATGTCTGAACTCCCAGCAGGGTGATGGAGCTCCAGATCTGATACATGCCTGCTACCCAAAGGAGTGACCTACAAAACACAGAGAGACAGGGTGGCACTTATAAGCCCTCTTTTGCGAACATTAATCCCGAGCCAGGCCCTGACGCGGCTTCGGCCCATTCAGCCTCTCCAGTGAAGGAGGCCCAATCCCAGGAACCCGAATTTCTGCAAAATATATGCTGGGTTACCATGAGAGGGTTGTGGGTGAAATTTCTTCTTTTGAAAACACCTCCTTTAATGTTATTATCGGCTTTATGTTTTAATAATTAAAAAATGAGTTAAAAATGCAGTGGAAGTTGAAAACAGCCCATTTTGAAATGGGCACCTAGACAAAGGGGAAACCCCTGTCCCCAAATCGCTGCTGAAATTTGTCTGCCCCACTGTGAGCTCCTAAGGGTGGGGAGGAACAGTAGCTGTGTATGGCATCAGCCTGCCAGCTGTTCGTTCTTTTGCCCAATTGGCAAATAGTGTTGGGCACCTACTGTGTGCAGCAGGTCTGGGCTTTTGGGGGCCTGGGAGTAGGGGTTCCATCCAGGGTGTTGGGACCCAGACGCCAGCCTCCAACGCTGACGGAGAGAAGCCCCTGACCCTGAGCTCTGTAACCTGCCCTTTCTAGATCACTCTCTATGAAGGCAAGCACTTCACAGGGCAGAAGCTGGAGGTCTTCGGGGACTGTGACAACTTCCAGGACCGGGGCTTTATGAACCGAGTGAACTCCATCCACGTGGAGAGCGGAGCCTGGGTCTGCTTCAATCACCCCGACTTCCGGGGCCAGCAGTTCATCTTGGAGCACGGCGACTACCCCGACTTCTTCCGCTGGAACAGCCACAGTGACCACATGGGCTCCTGTCGGCCTGTAGGAATGGTGAGTGGGCCCGTCCACCGAAGGCTGAGTCTTCCTGCTGGAGGGACCGAGGGTCAGCCCTGGCAGACAGTGGCAAGGAATCGGGGAGCGTGGTCCTCCCGGCTTTAAAGTCTGTAAGACTGAAGGAGCTATACCCAGAGCCACCTGCTGGCATGAGGTGAGTAGGTGGGGGGCCAAGTTGCTATGAACTGAGTGGGAGTGGCCCTGAGTTTTCATACAGGTATCAATAAACCACTTTAAGTTTCGGAGCCAAAAATCTAGCTGCATTTTCCATTTAAAATGCTGTTGAAATCATCCAAATTTAGATTTCCAGCCAGATAGGGGACACTCCGCCAATGGGAGGCTGATTTGGGCCTAGTGTGGCCACTAGTACAGGTGGTCTTGTGGCACATTCTGGAGCCTTCCATGTCTTGGAATGGCTGATGGAGGAAGCTGAAGAATCACCCGCCTGTCAGGGGAAAATTGGGGGGCAGGTCCCTTGGAATTACACAGGTAGCTGCCGCCCAAGAGGTGTGTGCAGGGAGGGCAGACGAGGGGCATGGCTCCCCGGTGGCGAAAGACTGTTTCGGTCCAGCTGCTCCTAGGGTGGGATTTAAGCAAGGCCGTTCCCCCAGGTCATGGGTACTCACTGACCTGCTGTGAGCTCTGGAGCTTCAGGTGGGGAGTGGCGGACTCCTGAGCCTGGGGGCGTGCATCTCTCATCACAGAGCGTCTCGCTTATGTCTGCTGAGGACCCTCCCCCGACGCCTGGGCTGGGTGGTTCTGGTGAACATCTGAGGAACCCCAGTAAAGGGGCCTTTGTGTGGTGCCCCCTCTCTTTTCTGTATCAGTTGCAAAACCAGCTGGGCTTTGGCATCTCAAATTGTAAGAATGCTTCCTTAGTATTTCTTCCAGGCTGTGGTCCATTTGGAAAAAAGAAATTTAAATGGTTGGCCCTGGACCCTGCATAATGCTATTTATATGAAAAACATCCTTGGTATCTTGCGAACTGCTGTTCTCCTAAGAGCTAGCCTGGGGCCAGCTGTGACGCAGACCAGGCCCTGCCGGCTTCTGAGCCAGGCAGGGGCTGGCCCTCCTCTGTCTTTTGGAAATGCGGGAATCATATAGGGAGATGTGCTGAGCCTAGGGGACAATGATGTCAAGGCCAGCAGGGGTTTCAGCACATGAGATCTGGTATTTGTTTTAGATTTTTGGCTTTATGTTTTACTAAAAGGTTCTATTACAGTTTTAAAATGTTATCATTTGAAGGCTTGCCCATGGGCTGTGGCCCAGGGGTGGGGAAGTCAGAACCCGGAGTGTGTGGCTGTGATCAGGGCCGGAGTCCCCCACGCTGAGCACCCAGAGGGAGCCCCGTGACCCCAGCCCTGGTCTGAGTGTGACCGCTGGCCTCTGGTCAGTTTGGCCCTCTTTGGACCTCAGATTTTCTAGTTGTAGAAAGAGGAGCTTGGACCAGCTCAGTGGCTTGGAACATTTTCAGAGTAATAGAACCCTTTCTTCCAACCACATCTCATGTGGAAGAACAAACAGAAGTGTGGGGTTGAAGTGTGTGGGGTGGGGGTGCCCAGTGCCTTGGGTACCTCCTAATTCCTTCCTGCATGGGGCTTCTGTTTCTGGGAGAGGGGAATTCACAGCAACCTCCTTCTTTCCTTCTTTTTTGCTTGGTCTTGGAGCACGGAGAACATTTCCGCCTAGAAATCTTCGAGGGTTGCAACTTCACGGGCCAGTGCCTGGAGTTCCTGGAGGACAGCCCCTTCCTCCAGAGCAGGGGCTGGGTCAAGAACTGTGTGAACACCATCAAGGTGTACGGGGACGGAGCGTGAGTACAGGCCACGTGGCCGCACCCCGAGGCCCGGCTAGGCCCTTCAGCACCAGGCGTGGGAGGCTGCCCGCCACACAGGGGTGGTGGGTGGGGTGGGAATGAGACCTCCAGCAGTGGGCAGCGTGTCCCTGGCCCCACAGGCCCTCTCCTTTCCTCAGCTGCCTCACCTGCCCCAGTCAAGCAGCGGGGAGCTTCCCCTGTGGCCCAGAAGGGCCTCAGAGAGGGACTCTGGGCCCCAGAGGCACCCTGAGACCTTCCCTCTAGGGCCTCAGTCCAGGAGCAGAGGTAGGAGAGTACCTTGAAAGTTGCACGGTTCTCTGCGATTGATCTGATACAAGGGGCCGCCTTTGGTTTTCTTGAACCGGGGGACACCTGCTTACCAAGGGGTCCTCCAGGGCCTTATGGGCTGGAAAAGCCACAGTGGGCTCACTTGCTCTGAGAAGGGTGGACCAGCCCACCCTGCCCCCGCGCCTACCCCGCAGAGCTGACCCCTGAACCGGGCCTCTCTGCAAACCCCCACCACCCTGGCCTCTGGGAGGAGATGGACTTCGGGGTGGCTCACTCCTGGACAGAAAGTAGCTGGGGGAATTTTGCCCAGGCCCAGATGGGTTTGTCTGCCCCACACTTGGGTTTCCTCCTGGTCAACCAAGGGCAGCCTGTGTGCCCCCTCCTGCCCTCCCGCACACTCCCCTTTTGCAACTATCCTCTGAGCACCTTCAAGTTGGCCATGTATTTTCATTGTCCAGCCCACACCTCTAGGTCAGGTAGATATTATCGCCCCCGTTCTACAAAGGGCAAGCTGAGACTCAGAAGGCTGACTGCCCGGCCGCCCCGTGGGAGTGGCACAGCTGAGACTGCAGCCAAGCCTGTGTCTGTCCCTGTTCCAGAGCTAGCCGCTTTCCCAGGCCTCAGTCCCCTCCCCTCAGGCCAAGAGCCCCTCACACAGGTTCCAGCTGGCTGTGCATGGTTCTGGCGCCTATCGAAGCAATTGAGGAACAATTTGCCGTCTATACTACAGAGGTTCAAGGCCAGGGAGCTTCGGAGGGGATGCAGGGGGCAGAGGGACTGCAGGGAGACAGAGACTGGGCCGAGGCAGAGCTGGGCACAGGTGGTACCCCATGTCCATGGGCTCCAACCGCACAGCGAAAATATCCCCCCACAATTGTGTCTATGCTGAATATGTACATTATTCCCTGAAAGATACTGTACAACTATTTACATAGCGTTTATGTTGGATTAGGTATCATAAGTAATCTGGAGATGATTTCGAGTCCAGTAAGTCCTCACTTAACATTGTGGATAGGTTCTTGGAAACTGTGACTTTAAGTGAAACAATGTATGGCAGGTCCTCAAATATGTCATCTTGTTCAATGTGGATTCATTATAAAATTGATGAGGGGAGAAATGGCTTTGTTATATATCATGTGCTTAAAGCCACGGTTCCCAAGAACTTACTGACGGTGTTAAGTGAGGACTTACTATATATGGGAGGATACACATGGGTTATATGCAAATACAGTGCCATTTTATATCAGGAACTTGAGCATCCTCGGATTTTGATATCCAAGGGAGGTCCTGGAACCAGTTCCCAGGGATAGGGAGGGACTGTGTACATCCCACCTTTCCCCGGTGGCCTGATGTTGGCCCCCTTCCTGCTGTTTCTGTCACTCTAGCTGGCTCCAGGATTCCGTTTTACGAAATTGCATTTTGCCCTAAATTGGTGGCACCTGGAGCCCAGGGGTGGCATTCCAAAACAAGAATTTGCCCTGGAAAACTTGCTGGCTAAATTGTGTCTTGTAAGGCCCAAGTCATGCCTTTGCGTGGAGGATGTCCTGAGGCCCTAGACACAATCCCCCCGGCCCACCCCCAACGCTCAGGGGCTTGTTGAGAACGAAGGTGGGGAAGGTGGAGGCTAACATTTCTCTGACTGAGGGGCACACAATCCCCACTGTCCCTGAGAGGAGCCAGCCATCGGGACCCCAGGTGGGGGACCCAGGAGCTCAGCCTTTGCCGCCTAAGACTCTTACTCTTACACAAATGTAAGCCCTTGTCAAGGAGGTAACGCCCCCAGGTCCCCTCGATCCGGAGGGGACACTGCTAGGAGGCCTTTCCTGGGGTCGGGGGAGTGGGCAAGGCAGGGTCCCTCCACCACCTCCCACTGCCAAGACTCCTTCCCTCTGGGTCCCACATCAGCCCAGGCATGACCCATCCCCTCAGACCCGTGTCCTGGTGGGCTCTCGGAGGGAAATGCACTGGCGTTCTGCCTCCACCTACCCTCACCTGGGGAAGGGCACGGTGCTGATGTGGGCAGGACAGGCCCCTGCCCTTTCCTCTGTCTGCCTCCTCCCAGTAGCCACAGCCAGGACAGGGGACAGCAGGATGGGTGGTTCCCCGCCCCCTCCTTTTGGGGGTGTCCATGTGAGAACCCTCATGTGGCCCAGGACATGGCTTGGGGCATTTCTTGCCCACCACAGGGTAGGAAAGGACCAGCTGACTCTCTGAGGTGCCTCTGAGGCCCCAGCTGTGGCACAGGTGTGGGGTTGGAAAGCTGTAGGTGTGGAGGGGCATGGATACGGGGGCCATGAGGGTGGGGTCCAGGCTGGACCAGGCCTGCCCTGAGTCCCCCAGCAGGTGCTCCAGGCTGGCTCACACCCTCTGCCTCTCTCTCTTCCTTCCTGGCCCCAACCCTTGAGGCAGCAGACTGTGCCAGGCACCAGGCATGACAAGCCTCACTCGTCTCAGAGATGGTGAGGGAAGGACAGGGTTGGGCCAGCCCCTGCTCCGAGCTGTCCTGAGGTGTCTTCCTTGGACCACATGCCCCTTTCCAGGCAAAGGCCACTATCCTGGACCTCCAGTCCCTTCCTCCTGGTCCCCCGTTCCCTCCCCACCGCACCTTCCTGCTTTTCTGGGCCGGGCCCACAGCTTCCTGGGTGATGAAGAGCTGTGTTCTCTCCTGCCCCCACCAGCCCGAGGTCCTCCAGGCTCTGTAAAGACTTGTCCTGACTGTTTCTGCTCTCTGGGTTGTTGGTGGCTGCCCCAGTGGTGTGCAGAAGGGGAGGAGGACAGGAAGGGGCCCTGCTTGGGACTCCCCAACCCTCCTCTGTGCCCTGCAGGCTCCTCCATGCAACTGCACCCCCACAGCCCATTTCCTCTGCAGGGGAGGCCCCGTGAGGGCAGGAGGGGGCAGGAACCGTGTTGTGTGACCATGGCACCTCTGGTACCTGACACAGTGTTGGGCACACATGTGGGAACCTGCTGGCATTCACTGAATGAACGGTGCCCTCTGTGCCAGGCCCCCCACCAGGTGCTGGGGGTACTGTCTGTGCAAGGTGGTCCTTATCAGGGAACAGGAGTGTGTGGGGCGTGCAGTGATGGCGGGAGTGCATCCTTGCCAAGGATGGCTGAAATGCAGTGGCGCAATCTCGGCTCACTGCAACCTCCGCCTCCCTGGTTCAAGCAATTATCTTGCCTCAGTCTCCCAAGTAGCTGGGATTACAGGTGCCCACCACCACACCCAGCTAATTTTTGTATTTTTAGTAGAGACGGGGTTTCACCACGTTGGCCGGGCTGCTCTCAAACTCCTGACTACAAGAGATCTGCCTGCCTCGGCCTCCCAAAATTCTGAGATTACAGGCGTGAGCCCCCATGCCCGGCCAGGACTGGTCAGTTTTAAAATGTGGACATTACTGGGCCTGTCCCCACACATGTCACACCCCAGCATGGACCCCACAGGGCACTGGGGAAGGCACCGTGGGTGCCTTCGTGTAGCCCAGAGTGAAGGGGCCGCTCGACCGGGAGGGGTTGCTGGGTGGCCAGGCTGTGCAGGCTTTTCTCTCCGGAGTCCCGGGGGACTTCCTGGCAGCCCCTGATCCCCACTCCCCTGGCCTCCAGGTGGGTCCTGTATGAGGAGCCCAACTACCACGGCCGCATGTACGTGGTGGAGAGTGGCGACTTCCGCAGCTTCTCGGACTGGGAGGCCCACAGCGCACGAGTGCAGTCGCTCCACAAGGTGGTCAACTTCTTCCAGCCGAGCCCTCCCACCGGGATGGCCGGGCGCAGCTCTGGGGACAGGGGCAACCCCTTGCGGTCCCACCCAGACCTCGGGACCTTGGGCGATAAAAGTCCTCAAAGCCAACGGGCGGCTTCTGAGTGCTCTCTCGGCAGTGGGCATCCCAGCCCTGGGAGGAGCTGGATGATCCAGGGCGCTTTCCCGGACTCCCAGGGACCCCCTGGGCCAGGGAGGGGAGAGTGGTGGGGAGAGGTGGTGAGAAGCAATGGGGATGGGGCAGGGCCGGAACCCAGGCCGGTTCAGGACTCCCCAGGCTCGCTTGGGGCTCTGCCTCTCTGTGACTCGGCAAGGTGAGGCTGCCAGGCCATGTGGCCAAAGGCCTGACCCAGGGTCTCTGTGTCTGATCTCTGGGTTTTATCCTCATGGCTAATCTTGGCCTCGGAGTTTCTAAGGGAGACCCCTCTGGAAGGATGGTTTCGACCCAGGGCAGACCCCTCTCCTGCGAGAGAGAAAACAGTTAGTGGTGGTGAGTGTCAGGGTGGGGGCTTAGCTTGAACAGGTGGGCTCTGTGGGAATGGAGGGGCTTTCGGGGAGAAAGGGGCATGGGGCGTGTCTGCTGCAGCCATAGCCCCTGGAGCAGTAGGGCTGGCAGACCCAGAACCGGCGGCTCGCGTCTTCAGCTGGTGCAGCACCAAGCGCTCGCCTGTAGAATTCCTCCATTCCTGGGCCCTCTCCAGGACACTGGGTCCTCCTGTTGGGGTGGGCTTGAATCTAGAGGGGACACCCCACCCTTGAGGGGCAGAGGGGAGGGAGAAGTCTGTCCTGGAAGGAGATACTCGGCCCAGGCAGTGGGATTCCTGGGCATAAGAGGTCCACGTCCCCAAAAGCATCCCCCCACTCCCTCCCCACCCACGCCTATGCTTCCAACTCACTGGGGAGAGAGGAAAGGTCCCACGAGGGGAACTCTGGTCCCTGGGGGTGGCCCAGGTAACTCCCTGCTGCCGGCAGCCCTCCAGCAGAGTCCTGAATGGAGCCTGCCTGTGAGGAAACCATAGCCCACCCCAGAAGGAGGCAACAGATGGAGTGCTCTGGGCTTCTGAGGAGAACACAGGGGCCCTGGACCCGAGATTCCTGAGCATGGGGGCTCCTGGACATGGAGACCCCAAAGATGTCCACATGGCCTGTGCCTGGACCAAGGCCTGGCTGGATGAGGGATCAGTGGGGGGCCAGGTGCATGGGTTGGATCACCCGTGTGCCCACAGAGTTCTGGCTGTGGATCTGACTCCTGGTCCAGCCTCTAATCCCCGACTGCGATCCCAGAGTCCCCCCAACCAACTGGCTCCCGACTGGCCTCTCAGTTCCCGGGTCCTCCTCACCATACATCTTACTCCAGTTTTCTGAGTAGATGGAGGGGTTTGGACTGGGGATCAGCCCCTCTAGGCTGGTCGCCCAGCTCAGGACTCCGAGGGAAAGCCCATGAGCCCTGGGTTACTATCTGAGTTGAACTGAGACACCCCGACAGGCCTAGGGGGTGATGGAGTACGGCAGGGAGCTCAGCGAGGGAACACAGGGTTCCCGAGAGAAAAACAAAATCTCAGGGGCTGATTCTGTCGCACAGTGTGGTGGCCTGAGTGTGGTGGGCCAGGGGATGGCTGTCCCGTTCCTGGGTGTCCTCCAACCTCTCCCCATCCCTCACTGAGAGAGCAATGGAAAAAGAGTCACGATGGGTCACCCAATTCACCCAAGACAATTCCCCACCAAGAGCTGGGTGGCAAAGACGGAGGGGCCCCATGACTGCTGTGGGACCCCCGTAGGCTGTCCCATGACAGCCGAGGCCAAATGAAGACATGAAACCACTAGGCAACCGTCCACTCCGCCCAGGAAAGGGGAAGGGGCTCCCTGCTGCCATGTGGTAGATGGGTCCCCAAAAGGCCTGCTCTGTACCCCTAATGCCCTGGCCCCACCTCCTTTCACCTGCAAACCACAGAGCATGGAGCCCTAGAAGCTTCGGAGCTGAGGACTTCCAGCTGAGCAGCTCTCTTCAATCAGATCAAGGACCGGAAGAGGCCACCACAAAACCAGCAACAACCCAGCCACCTTTCCTGACTGCAAACCTCTGAGCCTGGAACCGATTGACATGTAAATGCACCTGCACCGTTTCTGAGCCGGGAGAGTGTTTACTTAAAATCATGCCCTCAGTTTTCATTTCTCTGCCAGTTTGTTAGGGAGGTGGAGCCTTCTGTGTGTCATATCTGCCAGCGGGAGGCCCTCCCCACCCATGGCAAGGGCCCTGTCTCTTCTGAAACAGCCGTCCAACCCTCCACCCCACAGCCTCCTTGGGCCTTGGCACCCTGCTGGCCTCAGGCCTCCACAATCTCGCACCTCAGCCCACAGCTGATGATGGTGATGATGTTGATGAATATTTATGGAGCACTGACTTAATGCCAGGCTCTGTAGTAGCTGGAATCTGTGTAATTTTACTTATCATATACAATAATGCCAAGATGATATGCTTATCACCACTGTACAGTTGAGGAGAGCCAGCCACAGACAGGTTAAGCAACTTGCCCAGGGTCACACAGCAGTCAGGACTAAAACCCAGGTCTGGCTGGCTGATTGATCCTTTTCGTTCCTAACCACTCCTCTATAGAGCACCACACATTTGCATATTTAGATATATTTTTGTCATGAATTTGGCGCAAACCCAAAGCCTCTCCAGGCCTCAGACCCTGTTCTGTGAAATGAGTGCAATCATGTCTGCTGTACCAACTGTATACCCTTGTAAAAGCCAAAGGCGTGACCCATGAGCGGGTGCCATATGAGGGCTGGTTAGTAGTAGGTGACCCAGTAGGTGACGGGGTGGGGAAGCAGGCAGGGGAGTGGCATCACAGGAGAGAAGGTAACTTGGCTCCAAACTCCAACCTGATTCCCACTCCATCCCTCACTAGGATGTGACATTGGAGAAGCCACTGCTGTGTGTCTCAGTGTCTTCAGACGTACAGCAGTGGTAATCATTCCGCCCCCTCATAGGCAATTAATGCCTGGGGAATGAAATGAGAACTGCAGGCCCCACCGGTTCAGTCCAGGTCCTTGGGAGTCACGGGAAAAACCAGGCCTAGCAGCCCTTCCCATGAGTTCCAGAGGCTTCCCCTGAACTCTTCCTCTCCTCCCCAGCACCAAGGCTTAGCAGCATCTCATTAACTGGTGATTTAATGCTTCTCGAATGGGCTTTGTGCTCCTGGGTGACCTCCCCCTCACCCCAGCCCCCTGCTCCCTAATCTGTCAGCAAATCTGCTTTTTGTCTGAAAGAGGAAAAACAAGATTCCCACCAAAGTGCTTGTGGGCAGCTTGTAATTTATCTGAAGTCCGTCCAGGGGTCGATGGACCGAGGGTGAGAGGCCCTCAAGAGCCACACATGCTTCACATATTTCTACCTCCCTCTGTGGTTTGGAAAGCTGGGACTTTCACAGAGCCATCCCCTCATGTCCTCAGCCCTAGGTCCCCCTGCCCTGCTGGCCCCCCGTGCACTGTTTATCAGGCCCAGTCTGACCACAGGAAAAACATTCCCTTTGAATCCCCCCAGCCACCCCATCCCCCGCACCAAGAAGTTCCTCTCACCAGCCAAGGGCTGGTCCAAGAAGTCTCTGTTGGCCCCTTCCCCTTCCTGGGCCTCCCTCCCATGCCCCGAGGTGGCCTGCGCCTGGCAGGCTACCGCCTTCTTGGCTGGAGGCTTCTTGGCTCACCTCTTCACCCCACTGGGTGCCTTAAGAGCAGGGCTGTCCTGCCTGTGTTCCCCCCAGGAAGCCACAACAGATCTTCAATCAAAGCCTGTTGGATGAGTTTGAGCCCAGGGACGTCAAAAAAAAAAAAAAAAAAAGAAGAAAGAAAAAGACAAACTAACAAAAAACTTGTCAAATGAGACAGTTTTAAAGGTTTAGCTCCAGAGTTTCAGTTTGTGAAGATGACAGACTTCTGGAGACAGACAGATGGTGCTGACGGCCGCACGACTATGTGTGTGTACTTAATGCCACTCAACCACACACTTCAAATGGTTAGGATGATAAATTGTATGTGTATTTTGCCATAATCAA